>NC_000003.12:172190422-172341937 GCF_000001405.40 Homo sapiens
TCCAAATGCTAGGAATCGGATTGCAGCATCTATTTCACTCAGCATTTGGGTCATGAGACTCTCCTTTCATTCTGTAGTCAATTTTCAAATTTTGCCCTTGTAAATATTAAAAGGCTCAAGTGGATAAACTAATTAAACCATAATGGTTCAGTTTATTTTATTGTGACGCCTTCTAGGGAGGGGTTTATGATTAAATATTCAAAAATTTGCCTTGGTTTGATAACCATTGTGTCTTTTTTTGTTTTGTTTTGTTTTGTTTTTTTGAGATGGAGTTTTGCTCTTATTGCCCAGGCTGGAGTGCAATGGCACGATCTTGGCTCACCGCAACCTCCACCTCCTGGGTTCAAGCGATTCTCCTGCCTCAGCCTCCCAAGTAGCTGGGATTACAGGCATGTACCACCATGCCCGGCTAATTTTTTTATTGTTAGTAGAGACGGGGTCTCTTCATTTTGGTCAGGCTGGTCTCGAATTCCTGACCTCAGGTGATCCGCCTGCCTTGGCCTGCCAAAGTGCTGGGATTACAGGCGTGAGCCACCATGCCCAGCCCCATTGTGTCTTTTGTTTAATGATGAAATATTGAAGAAAGAACTTGAAATTATCTTTATATTTTAATCTTATTTCACATCTAAAATCATATAATTATATAAATAGATGAGACTGTAGAATATAACCAACCCTCCTTATGTTCCAGACGAAGAGACTAAGGCTCAGAGAAGCCATGTAATTTGCCCAAGGTTGCACAGCACACAGCTATTGATGAATGGAGCCTGGGTTCTTTAGCCTCATCACACTGAGTTTTTGTGCACGTGCTCATGATTTTTAATTTGGTTGATGTTAACATGTTGGCATATATTGAAAGAAGTGGGAGTGTCCTTGAAGAACTTAACATGTATTAAACATTTGCTTCGTGCTGGGCAAATTTTACTCTTTAAAGTACCATCAGAACTGATAGTATTGTCACTGATACCATCATTATTGTCCTCCTCATCATCATTCCCCATTCTAGAGACAGGAGGGCCTGAATTTCTCAGAGGTTAAGCAGATTCTTTGAGTGGGGGATCTAGGTTTCAAATTCATTGTTGTTGTTTTTAAGAGATGAGGTCTCACTCTGTCACCCAGGCTGGAGTGCAGTGGTGTGATGATGGCTCACTGCAGCCTCAACCTCCTGGGCTCAAACAATCCTCCTGCTTTAGCCTCCTGAATAGCTGGGACTACAGGTGCATGCCACCATGCCTGGCTAATTTTTAAATTTTTTGTAGAGATGGGGTCTCACTGTGTTCCCTGGGATGGTCTTGAACTTCTGGGCTCAAGTGATCCTCCCATAGTGCTGAGATTACATGCGTGAGCCACCGTGCCTGGCCTCAAATTCTTGTGTCAGGCACTGTGTATTTTGCAGCAGGGAAAATGAGGTTTTGACTCTTCTGCCAACTCTCAATCAATTGACTGTAGCTGATTGGAGCGCTGTGTAGAGGATATAGAAGTAGCCTCTGGGCTTAGTGGGACAAATGCAGTGTCTGGTGGTGTATGCCATGGCCCTGAAGTGTGGTCGGGGTGGTACATGTATGTGGTACATATGTTACCAGACCTATAATTTCTCTTAACATAGCAATCTGATTCTTAGTTTCAGAGGATAGGAAACTCAATTTTAAGTTTACCTGGGAAGGTGGAGGAAGGCTTGGTTGGATCAGGCTTTGGAAAGCCAACTCTTGTTAACCAAATACACAGAAGACTGTTTTTTTTGTGTGTGTTTTTTGTTTTTTTTTTTTTTGAGAGGGAGTCTTGCTCTGTCCCCCAGGCTGGAGTGCAGTGGCGTGATCTTGGCTCACTGCAACCTCCGCCTCCCTGGTACAAGCGATTCTCCTGCCTCAGCCTCCTGAGTAGCTGGGACCACAGGCATGTGCCACCACCCCTGGCTAATTATTATTATTATTATTTTGTGTTTTTAGTAGAGACAGGGTTTCACCGTGTTAGCCAGGATGGTCTTGCTCTCCTGACCTTGTGATCCGCCCGCCTCGGCCTCCCAAAGTGCTAGGATTACAGGTGTGAGCCACCGCGCCTGGCTGGTATGGTCTTTAATTGTAAGAAAATTGAAGAGGGAGGCAAGTAAACAAAGATTTTACAGTAATAACTCTAATCTGAGTGAATAGAGAAGTTCTTGATTATAGCAGAGGCCAGGAACTGTTTTATAAGTACTAATACTAATTCAGTAATTTTTACCTTTCTAGTGTGGTTCACTCACATGTGTTTATTCTATAAATGTCTTATTTTATAAATGTTGACGGTTAGGATCTCTAATTACAGGGCATGAATATATATATATATATTTTTTACCTCATCTTATTGAAGATTCTCAGATGAAGAGCCTGTAGCCTCCAGTGGACTGACTTTAGTAAAAAGGCTTTAATTGCAGAACCTCTGAGTTGACTGTAACAAATGCAGTTTATTCCCCTAGACTGGAAATAACAAAACCAACCAGTTTGAGTTTTTGTCAAAACTCAAACTCGGTTATCTGAAAGAATTTATTATCTGTAGAGTTTCAGTATGAAGAATGCAGTTACTTTGAAAATTAATGATTGTCTTAAATGTCTGCTTGTGATTGTTTGTTAATTGCTTATTTTTGTCCTTTTGTCCTATCTCTCCAAATCTGTCCTCTTGTGTTACTGTGTCAATATTAGGTCATAGCCAGCCTCCCTCCCTCCCTCCCTCCCTTCCTTTCCCTGCCTCCCTTCCTTCCCACCTTTCCCTCATTCCCGCCCTTCCTCTCCCTCCCTCCCTCCCTTCCTTTCCATCCCTCCCTCCGTTCCTCCTCCCCTCCTCCCCTCCTCCCCTCCTCCCCCTCTCCCTCTACCTTCCCCCTCCCCCTCCCCTCCCTCTCCCATCCCCCTCCCCTCCCCTCCCCTCCCCTCCCCTTCCCTTCCCTTCCTTCCTCTAACTGCTTTCTCTATAATTTTTTTCAAGATATTTAGGTTGCTAGTCTCAAGTATAATAAGGGATATTGCAGAATATTTAGATGCATTAGATGGATCATATTACTCAATTTTTAGTAGACCAGTTACTTTGAGTGACTTTTTGTTTTGGTGTGTAGCTCCTAATTCATGGTTGATTTGTAATCTTATGCTTGGGGTTAAGGGGTCTGCTCTGCATGCCCTGTAGCATTTTGATCGCTGGCTGATGGCACCTCTGCCATCCCCACTACTGCTGGACTTTGTCTAGGATTTGGGAAGCCTGGGTCTGTCTGGATTCACTTGGCCTGTTTTCTTTCCTCCTCCTTGTGCTTGTACTCCATGTTGGAAGGGACCTGTATTTGATGTCTAGAAATGTGCCCTTGTGAGGAAAGTACATCACAGACTATACTAGTTCCACAAAAGGAAGATCAACAAAGCTTTTCAAAAATAACATCATCTTTTTAATAACTAAAGTGTTCACACTGAAGGGTGAATGGAAGAAAGGAGTAAGTTTTTGGATAAATAAGAATTGTGGGTGAGCAGGCCAAATGTTAAAAATTCTCTTAGTGGTGGTCGGGCGTGGTGGCTCACGTCTGTAATCCCAGCACTTTGGGAGGCTGAGGCGGGCGGATCACAAGGTCAGGAGATTGAGACCATCCTGGCTAACACAGTGAAACCCCGTCTCTACTAAAAATACAAAAAATTAGCTGGGCGAGGTGGCGGGCGCCTGTAGTCCCAGCTACTTGGGAGGCTGAGGCAGGAGAACGGCGTGAACCCGGGGGGCGGAGCCTGCAGTGAGCCGAGATCACGCCACTGCACTCCAGCCTGGGCAACAGAGCAAGACTCCATCTCAAAAAAAAAAGAAAAATTATCTTAGTGGTTATACTGTTGTAGAGTAGTATTGATTGATGCATTTATTCAACCAGCAGCCCTTATGTGGTTCTGCTGTTTCGTACTCTAGTAGATACTTTGAGAGCTACAAAAATGTAAACGTGTGATTCTTGTCGTTGATGGATGACCTTACCTGTCAAGTGAAATGAGACATGTTTTTGTTTTTGGTTATTTGCCATTTAAATGGATTTTAAAATCCTTCGTACTCACTCCAAAGTTATTGTTTTCTGCGTCTGGATTCTACCTTACTGCTTCTATAAAGTTGCATCTTTTCATCAAAATTATATATGGTACTGCTAAATGGGTTGGTGGAAATACTCATTGAAAAGAATATAATTATGACATAGATCATATACATAGCTTCACATTAAGAAAAGGGTATTGAGTATTTGAAACACTTGACATTGTGTTTATAAATATCTACTCATCTAGTCCAGCACTGAAGAGTCATATAAGTACTTAATTTCAGAGGTGAATCACAAGTGGCATTAAAAATGTATTTTTCTTGTTACCTGGGGCCTATACATTTAATGAGTTTAAATTATTCCTTTGGCCTCAACTCTGGTGGGTAACCTAATTCTAATACCATGGTGAATGGTTACTGTGACTACCCTGTTGCTAAGAAACCTGTTATGTTATCAGGTTGCCTTGGCGAAGTAACGGCTTCTTAGGACTCCTTAGCACCGCTGGGAGGTTGTTAATCAGAGCTGTGGAGGACCTTACAGAATTAGTTTCCAAGGTTATAACTAATTTTTCTTTAGGAAGAGAAATAAATCTAAGTCTGTAAAAACTGAAAGAAAACAAAGTCTAAATTATTTTCAGTTAAATCATGACCTTTAGTTATTTTAAAAAAAGTTTGATCTTGAGATAAAAACCTATTTTTACTAGTATTTTTACTAGTTACAAGGATCTATGTCTTGAATGGTGGCACCCCAACCCCCACCCCTCTTAACTTAGCATTCCATTTTTGTTTGCTTAGAGTGATTCTTGGCAGGGTATTTGCAATGTATAGAAGAGTATTTGAACTGAGATCCCGAGGGAGAACACTGTGTGAAATTATTTTAGTCATTTGATATCAATTGCTCTTGCTATGAAATGATTGAACATTTTATTTTAAACAAATGGTACACTATGTAGCATTTTTTAAAATGCACCACACTTGATACTGGGTCAATAATTCTGTTCAAGGCAGGAAGCTGGCTTTCACAAGCTTTGCTCCATGGCAAAAGGTTTCAGATGCTTAAAGCTCCACAACACACGTTAAGAATCTGAGAAGTTGTGCTGCTGTTAATTTTGTGTAACTTAGCTCTCTTCCACATTGTTTTCTCTTTTTATCTCTATGCCTGGAGGTGCTTGTTTTCAGCAAATTACATTTTGAGAAACTCTGTTCTTGACTATTGTTTAGAGGTACAATGCAGAAGGGGTCATTCCCATTTGACACCATTCTCATTTGTAGCAGTACAGGTTAAGTCACAAGCCAGCCTGAGGAATAGGATGAGCTGTTCAATTACACAGGAGTGGGCACAGTTAAGAACCCAGGCTTTGGAATTCCAGTCAGAGTGCCTGGACCCAATTTTGGGTCTTCTGCCTCAAACTTTTTGACCTTAAATCAGTTACATAATGACACTAATCCTCAGTTTCCTCAACAGTAAATGAGAGATAAAACCCTTTAGATTTCAAAGAGTTGTGTGGATTAAATGAGATTATATGAAATGCTTAGCATAATTTCTGGCACTTAATGTGAGCCTTTGTAAATGTACAATGTTAATTATTATAGAGGACACTTTCTGGGGAGCTGTGAGTTGTTTCTTTAAATCTGAAAGGTTTAGGTACTTGGCATTTGATGAAGCCACCCACACTAAAGCTTTTAATTGCTGGGAAGATTTTTCAGATTTTTAAATTTAATTTATTTTTAAATTTAACCTTAAATGTAAAAACATTTTTTTAGACACAGTGTCTTGCTCTGTTGCCCAGGCTGGAATTCAATGGTGTAATCATAGTTCATTGCAGCCTCGAACTTCCAGGTTCAAGGGGTCCTTCCCACCTCAGCCTCCCAAGTACCTGAGACTACAGGTGCCTACCACCATGCCCAGCTAATTTTTTTTTTTGTAGGGATGGGGGTCTTGCTCTGTTGCCTAGGCTGGTCTCAAACTCTTGGCCTGAAGGATCCTCCTGCCCTGACCTACCAAAGTACTGGGATTAGAGTCTCCCAGCCTTTAATATTTTATAATTTATTTCCATATGTCTTTTTCCTTGAGTTTAGAGTTGGACATTCTAAGTTTTAGCCCTAACTCTTGGTCTTTCTGGGACATCAGTTTTCTCATCTGTAAAATGGAGGTGGGAATTGGCTGACATTTCAGGTCACATTCTGTGATCTGACCCCTGGGAGAGCTTGGTGAAAGGTTCCCTTCTGATTGTATCCTGAATAGAAGAGGGAGGGTCTAGAGGTTAAGGACAGCCCTCAAAGTCTTGTAATGTTAGGATGAGCCACACAGATGATGGCACCTCACGTTTCGCTTTTTCTTGTCCAAAGAAGACAGCCGGAGCTCTCAGAGTAAGTGAGTTAATTAATGGGCAGTCTGTATTTGGGTTAAATATATGCTTTCGGTTATTACTTTTCTCTTTTTTAAAGAACAATTCTTGGCTGGGCATGGTGGCTCACGCCTGTAATCCCACCACTTTGGGAGGCTGAGGCGGACGGATCATGAGGTCAGGAGTTTGAGACCAGCCTGACCAACATAGTGAAACCCTGTCTTTACTAAAAATACAAAAATTAGCCAGGTGTGGTGGCATGTGCCTGTGGTCCCAGCTACTCGGGAGGCTGAGGCAGGAGAATCACTTGAACCTGGGAGGTGGAGGTTGCAGTGAGCCGAGATGGCACCACTGGATTCTAGCCTGGGTGACAGAGTGAGACTCTGTCTCAAAATAAAATAAAATAAAATAAAGTAAAATAAAATAATAATTATTTAAAATGTTTGAAACAGCCTCAAAACTGCAGAATTGTTACAAATACGGTGCAAAATACTTGACAGCACTTGTTAGCTAACCCCAACTTAGTTTAGAGAAATAATTTGAATAGCACAGAGAACATGTTTTTTCTGAACCGTTAGAGAGTAAATTGGTCTCTTGATGCCCATCAACCCTGAATATTTGTTGTATTTCCCATAAACAAGGATGTTCATCTGCATAACTACAATACAACCATCAACATTAGGACACTTACTTTGATGTCTATATTTCTACTGTTGAATCCTCAGACCCCATTGAGGTTTCGGCGGTGAGCCCCACAAAATCCTTTATAGCACAAGGATTCAGTTCAGAATTATATGTGTCCTTTAGTTGGTGTGTCTTTTTAATTTCTTTGAGAGTGGCACAATAATGCAGTCTTTTTCAGAATGCTGTGACCTTGTTACTTGTGACAGTTACAGGTCAGCTGTTTTGTAGAATGTCCTATTTCAATTAGTTGATATATCCTCATGATTAGATCCAGGTTATCCATCTTTGGCAGGAACATCACAGAAGTGACACTGTGCTCTCATTGCATTCTTTCAGGTGGTCATAATATTGATTTGCCTCATTACTGGTGATGATCACTTTGATCATTGACTAAGATGGTACCTGCCAGTCTTCTCCGTTGTAGAAGTCCTAATTTTCCCATTGTAATGAGTAAATATTTTGTAAGGTGGTAGTTCAAAGTGATATAAATATTCCTTTGCTCATCAGATTGTTGATTTATTCATTATTTGTAATAGTACCAACTCATGGTTTTGTTACAATTCAATGGGTTATATATAATACATTACTATTTTTTTAATGCTCAAAATTCCTTTAACCCATCTTATGTGTGCTTTTAACATGTCCTCTTCATTCTTTGAGCACATCTTTTCTGGTTCAAAGAGATGTTTCATATTCATCTTGTACTTTTCCTGCCTTAGTCCTGAATGAGCCATTTCTCTAAGAAGTCCTGGCTTCTTTTTTAATAGAGAATCGTATTTAGAAGCCAAGATCTGTGGGGGGGTACATGTGCCTGTTAGTATTGCAGTTGTGCCTCTCCAAAACTCTTAGTGGATAGAGCTGGAGAATACTTGAATGTATGTATGAATATACTTGGACACTCACCATAGGTAATACACATGCATAAAAACACATATTTATTTTTACATCTTACTATGTAGTTTGATATCAAGGAGTTTACACTGATACCTCCAATTCTGATCCAACACTCAAGGGGTTGTTCTAATTCTTTCTATATTTGTAAAACTTCTACCATTTCTATGACAGAAATCTGACACGTGTACATGTAACCAGCCTCTCAGTGCATCTTTCCCTCACACCCTAGGCTCTGATACCTGATGTCAGACTGCCATCGTAGGTGATGTCTTCCTCCTGACTGTTTTCCACATTGCATAACAGGCCATTCTTTTATGTGGATACTCCATGTTGCGCTGTTCCCACATCTAGACATCTTCCTTATCCCACTCCTGACTCCCCATATCAAGCTGACCCCCTAAGCCTGGGATATCTACCTTGGAGGTAGGGAATAGGAACAGGAAGAAGAAGAAGAGCTCTTTTCTTTTCCATTTCCTTGATAAGGTCTCATTCTGTCACCCAGGCTGGAGTGCAGTGGTGTGATCATGGCTCTCTGCAGCCTTGGACTCCTGGGCTTAAAGTGATTCTCTTGCCTCAGCCTCCCGAGTAGCTGGAACTACAGGTGTGCACCACCATGCCTGGGTGATATTTAAATTTTTTTTGTAGATACAGGGTCTCACTTTGTTGCCCAGGCTGGTCTTAAACTCCTGGCCTCAAATGATCCTTCCTCCTCAGCCTCCCAAAGTGCTGGGATTATAGGTGTAAGCCACCATGCTTGGCCCATTTTCATTTTTAATATTCCAAGGGAAGCTGTTTAGAATATTTTATTTTATTTTTTATTTTTTTTTTTTTGAGACGGAGTCTCGCTGTCGCCCAGGCTGGAGTGCAGTGGCGCGATCTCGGCTCTCTGCAGGCTCCGCCTCCCGGGTTCACGCCATTCTCCTGCCTCAGCCTCCCGAGTAGCTGGGACTACAGGCGCCCGCCACCTCGCCTGGCTAATTTTTTGTATTTTTAGTAGAGACGGGGTTTCACCGTGTTAGCCAGGATGGTCTCGATCTCCTGACCTCGTGATCCGCCCGCCTCGGCCTCCCAAAGTGCTGGGATTACAGGTGTGAGCCACCGCGCCCGGCTAGAATATTTTATTTTTGAAAACACTATTGAACTTACCAAGGAAAATGTTATGTATACAGTTAAATCCTTTCTTAATGTCATCAATAGGTTCTTGGAAACTGCTATTTTAAGCAAAATGATGTATAATGAAACTAATTTTACCATAGGCTAATTGATATAAATAGAATTAAATTCCTGTGGCATATTTTAGGCCCCCAAAACATCACCAAACTTCTAAACAAAGACCCCAAACATTTCTAATGGTAAACATGGAAATAAATGTGAGCTATACACACATTTAAGAAAGATTGATAAAAACAAGGAAGACAATTATTTACCCAGTGAGTGAGTGACAGCAGTCATGGTGGTGGCAGGTTAAATTAAGGAATAAATGTTTGCGAAGTGAAAATTGTGAGGAACATCTCCTGCCACCACACAGTTTACAAACAAACAATAAATATGGTGGGTTCTCTGCGCGCTTTTGTGTTTCGTGCATTTGTATGGTTACCATATACTTTACACATTTCTGTTTTACAATACTTTGTATTCATTCATTCATTCATTCATTCATTCATTCTCTAACCCATTATTCCAGTTCAGTGTTGCGGGGGCCAGAGCCTATCCTGATATTACAAGGAACAGATGGAACCCACCCTGGACAGGATGTCATTCCATCACAGGGCACACTCAAACACATACCCACACTCACTTAGACTGGACAGTTTAGACACACCAGTGCACCTAATGTGCACATCTTTCAGATGTGAGAGGAAACTGGAGTACCTAGAGAAAACCCACACAGACATGAGGAGAAGAGAACGGGGAAACTCCACACAGAGGCCTTGGCCAGGAGTCAATTTTGTTTTCTCTTATCAATGTTATCATGAAATGATGTTGAATGAAACGTTATTCAAAGACCTGCTGTATACAGAAGGTCCCCAATGGTTAGACTTGTGATTTTTTGGCTTTATAATGGTGCAAATGTGATATGCATTTGGCAAAAACCATATGAGTACCCGTGCAAACCATTCTGTTTTTCACTTTCAGTACAGTATTCAATAAATTACATGAGTTATTCAATACTTTATTATAAAATAGTGTTTATGTTAGATGCGTTCACCCAACTGTAGGCTAATGTAAGTGTTCTGAGTGTGTTTAAGCCAGGCTAGGCTAAGCTATGATGTTTGGTAGGTTAGGTGTATTAAATGCAATTTTGACAAGATATTTGCAACTTATGCTGGGTTTATCAGAATGTAACCCCCCTCTTAAGTGGAGGAGCATCTGTAATTGTTTTTGTCATTTGAGCCGTAGTTTAAACAAATGAATGCAATGGTATATTCCCTCAGATAAGTGACCTAGCTTGAAAAATAAAACTGTACCTGAAAACTAGGTAAAAATGGATCTTGTTGTTTGGGAGGGGAAAGAGAATTTGAAGCGTTTTCTCAAAAGGGTACCCAGCACCCGAGTACCTTTCTTTTGTTTAATTTTTAACAAAAGAGCTATCTTTGTGGCAATTGTTTTCAATATCTCTGCCGTACACATATGTGGGCAGAAAGCTAGAGTTTGAATAACACTTGTTAATGGAAACCAACTTCTTTATGGATTTGTTTGAACAGTGGTTCAGAATTTTTATGCTTACTATCTTATTCCTGTTTGAATACTTGGCCAGCCATATTCTCAGAGCTCCCTGCCCCAGCCAGCCTCTCTAATGGCTCCTACGGTGAAGTTCTGTTAGCGCTTCCATTGGAAACCTACCAGAATGGCTGGGTTCTGGCATGGTGCCCTCTCACGAAAGCTGCAGCCCCAGTGGGGGAAGCGCAGGGTGGAGTTTTTCCACCCTGCTTCTGGCTGCTCTCCAGACCCTGGAGTGTCTGTGAGGTTTTTTTTCCTCTTTTCTTTCTCCCATAACAACAAACAAACAATAACACTACTACTTGGACATATTAGGGACATGGGATATGCGTGCGTACGTGCGGTGGAGTGGGCCTTTTAGTTAGCTCCCCAGCAGTGTTCTTCTGCCACTGGGCTCTTTTGTTCAGTGTGACCTCATGAGAAGTGGTAGCAGTACTGTAAGCTCTAGAGGATTTCCCTATCATGGGCCTTTTATTTCCCTGTGGTTGTCTAAGCAAAGCAATGGGAATCTCCTGGTGGGTATTAACTATCTTTCTAGACCATTCTTTGCACGAAATGCTGACTTAATGAGAGTCTGAGTCACCCTTAGCAATTTCTCCAACTCCAGACCATGGCGTGTTACAAGATGGCAGCTGTTTAGTGGATATCAGAATAGCCTTCATGTTTTCATGGCAGGGTTACCAGATTTAGGAAATAAATTTACGGGATGCCCAGTTAAAGTTGAATTTCAGATATACAGCATTTTTTTAGTGTAATTGTGTCCCATGCAGTACTTGGGATATGCTGGTATGAAAAGTTATTTGCTGTGTTTTTGAAATTCAACTTTATCTGGGTGTGCTCTTTTATCTGGCAGCTCTACTTCGTGCATTTTTGCATGATGTAATAACTTGGATACATGTTGTACTTAGAATATTATGTATATATGATTAGTTCCTAAAAAGTGACTGGCTTCACAAATAAACCCTTGAGTGCATGAAATTTTGAGCTCCTTAAAAGGCAACTGCAGTTGAGCTGGCAAATCACATATGCCAGATTTCCAGACTGAGTTGAGTCGGCCATCATGAGGCAGGAACTTGAAGTTACATCATCTAGAATTTCCCGGTACCCTTTTTTTCCTCCCTCTCTTTAATGACTCTTTATTTGTAAGTTAGAAATTTGGGCTAAGCATTCCCTGCAAAAAGGCGTCTTTCCTTTATTCATTGAAAAACACAGAAATCTTTAGTCTTAAGCAATACAGACTGGTCTGTATGAGGTTGTATTTGTGCATGTAGAAAGAAAAAGTAAGAATTTTATAAAGCCTTCTGCCTTGCTTTGGCTTTTTTTCGGCCAGTATTTCCTTTTGTGTATTCTACAAGAAGACCAGAGAACTACACATGATAGTAGTAAAGATCCCTCCCGTCCCCTGTTAGATACTTTCTGTCATATCCTTTGACACACTTGATTCAACTAACACCCCCTTGTAAGGGCAAGTGGTTATTCCTAATTTTGTAAGTTAGAAATTCTCCAAACGGAACAGTGTATTGGTCTCTTTCCCAAAGGATGCAAGATTTGTCTTCTTATAAAGTCTTAAGAATGGTCTCATTAACCATCTGTTATTGAATGAGTAGATTCCCGTGTAGACCCTTCTGTTCTCAGGGCGGTCATTCCACCTTCCCCTGAGTCTCTGGTCCATGACCCCTGGAAGAGATTGCCTGAAAGCACATTCATAATTTTGCTCCACATTCATGATTTGGCTTAAACAAAATTAAGAATTATTACTTGAGCCTTTTTAATAGTTTGCTGCGGGTGTGGCACACTTTTTCTGTAAAGGGCAAGATGGTAAATAACATGCTTTGCAGACATACAGTCTCTGATGCATACTCTTTTACAACCCTTTAAAAATGTGACAACCATTTTTAGCTTGTGAGCTGTACCAAAGCCGGCCATGGGCTGGCAGTAGTTTTCCTGAGTGTTTGTCCTTAAAAACATATTACATGGGGAGTTCTGTGGATTCTGAAATTTACCCATTATTTTCGATATATATAGAAGTGGGAATGAATACTTAGCAATAAAAATATGTGACAAGCTGTGGGCACTCTAACATCCTGGAGGACATTGTCTCTCTCCCTGCCCCCCTTCCCCTGTGGCACTTACTCATATTTTTAAAAGGAGAATGTTGTAATTTCTTGTTAAAATTTTGGATTTTGTGTTAATGCTAAACAAAATGTCATTCTGATGGGTTTCTTTTGTCAGGTATGTAGGAGCAAGTGGTCAGATAGCAAATTCATGCCCAAAGGCGGGAGAAAGCAAGACAGGACATCGGTTTGTCTTCTCTTTGAATTTATTTATTTATGACATTGAGGATTTGGTGAAATTTTGGTATAACAGAACATCCTAGCCAGTTTTTCTATCTTTCTGAGCCATCAATTCTTAAGAAACTGCATAAGCATTTTATTTTGAAACCTTATGGGGAAGGATGTTACATTCACATAAGAATGAAACTCAATAGGAGGTTTGCCCTTTGATTTGCTTTATCTTTTCGCTGATTTTCTTTGAAAGATTATGCTTGGTGTTCTTCCAGATCGCAGTGGTAACAACAGGCAGGCTCCCAAAAGCACCTAAGGGGAGAGACATCCCATGAGAATCCATCATACATTTCATACCTTTCCAGCTGCTGCTCTTAGTGATTGGTGTAAAGCCATTCAGGCACCCCTTGTCTTTTATTACACAATGAAATTGGGGTATTTCCCGTCACTTTTTTTCCCTTCAGACTTTTACAAATGATTTTTGGGCCCGAATGTGATTGTGAATAGACAGACATAGCTTCTAAGAAAGCCGTTGGGACCCACTGAATTGTGACTGTCAGACAAAGGCATTTTGTTTAGAAGGCTTGTCCCAAAGTGGTGTTGGAGTCTGAAAGAAGGGCCGCCAGCGTCTCGTTCTTTCTGCTGTGAACTAATAGGAAAGCTGATGTTTGCTGAGTGGATGGCTGTACTCACTGTCCAAACAGATCTGTGTTTGCCAACTGTGAACATATTGCTGCCTCTGTGAGGCACTCCATCATGCCTTGAATGGATCCTCTTGTGTTCAGAATTTTCTGACTCAAAGCGAGGGAGAGAGAAATATTTCTTTCAGACTTCAGCATTCACTGTAGCATCCATAGTCTCATCAGACCTTTAGAAACCAAGCATGCACCGGAGACGCTTCTTAAGGAGAGTGAGAAAAGAGCAGAGAAAAAGGAATAAAGAGACAGCCCCATTGAAATGCCTTTATTCTGACCATTTGTGGCCAAGTTTTCATAAATAAACCAGGCTGCCTTGGCAAATAGAATTGTGAGAATATTTTTTATTTCTCCTGAGCAAAATAGAACTCTGAGTTTCCAACTCATGGTCCATTTCTGTGCATGTATACATACATGCACAGACAAAAATAAAAGCATAGAATACATTTATAATGTGTTATTAAATGGGTGACAGAGTTTTATTCCACCTGGATAATCCCTTAAGAAAAGGCTAATTGATACATATGAAGGAGTTTTGATTACTTTATAAACTGTCTCTTAGTTTTAGGGTTACAAACCTATTGTATATGAAAGGGTGAAAATAAAGTGGGTTTTTTTGTTGTTGTCAGTTTAGTCACTTTCTATAAGTTGACAGTAATAGTACCTTCTGGCAAAGTCTAGTATTCGCTGCATGAACTGCGGACAGAGCCCATGGAAAAGATGTGGCATTCCTTGCAATTACCCATTGTTTTGTGTGTTAAATTTCAGAAACCTTGGTTGAGTGGGTGGAAAAACAACATTGCTGATAATGAAACTCAGTGAGCACATGGCATGCACAGGACACTTACCATTCTGGTCTGTGTTGCTTATTGAGTACATGTTCAACACTGAACAGCTTCACTCGGCATTGTAGTGGAAATGGAGAGAGACGGGAAGGACAGAATGCTTTTGTGAGTGGAAAGGTAGATTTCTGTGTAGTTCTCTGCAGCAGTAAACCGTTGCCTGGCCTTAGTCAGTGAGAACTCAGTATTTATTTGCCTACCTGTAGTAAATGATTTTTTTGGCATATATAACCCATAAAAGTTTAAAACCAGAATTACCATCCCCCGCCCAGGCTACAGTATTTACCATTTGGTTGTCTGGGTATTCTTATCCAGGACTAACTGTACTCATGGAAAAATCTAGTTCTTTAAACTTACTGGAAATATAACAGGAATAGCAGGGACAGTTGGGGTAGGAGAGGGCCTGGCAACCATGGCTGCCATTGATGTAATAGTAATGATCTCAGCTAGCCCAGCTGGGAAGCCAACCATGTGCCAGGTACTCTTCTAAGTATTTTATATATGTTAACTAATTTCTTCCTCAGACAATCTTGTGAAATTGTTACCATTGCTTTCTTCATTTTACAGGTGAGGAAACCAAGGCACAGAGAAAGGTTTACTAACATGCCTAGGATCTCACAACTAGTCATTTGTGGAGTGTGGAATTGAAGTTAGAGGAGGATGGCCCCAGTATCTGCCACAATTACTACAGCACTACGGTTGGCGAGGGAAGAAATCTGCATTCTCCTTGTAGAGTTTTCTATTTATCTTTCCTTTATTTCTTGGAGTATGTGTATCATATCATATGGTTTTGGAAAAGTGTCTGAAGGTCATCAAAATCTAAGTACTAGGAGGCTAAGATCAGAAAGATAATGCATTCTGTAGGTAAAGAAGTTTGCTCCTCTTTGTTTTTGTCACAGAAAGAAGTTCCACATTTAATTAATTCCTGGTTATTATTATTATAAATTGGTTGAATTACATTGTGGTCTAGTAGATAGGGCTGGGTAATACATTTTGTTCAGAACTTAATTGAGAGCTTGATTTTAAACTTAAAGTCAACCATTATGAGGTATCTTAGTATAAAATCAGGATATTTATATGTAGTTAGATGCTAATATAAAAATATTCAATCATATTTCTTTATGATGATGGATTGAGCGGGGATATGTTTATATGTAAAGCTTGGAAGCAACATTTTTACAACCGTAGGGTAATAGTACTATTGCCTAGTGTAAGTAGCTTTTCTCAAGAGACTATAGGGATGATTGAAATTGGCCAGTTTCAGATGATTTTTATAGGAGTAATGTTTATTGCAGCTCATTAATGCCATGTTTAATAGTTACTGGTTATCTGAAATGTTGCCCTGAGTGGAAAGGGGGTCATATGGTTCCATTGCTAGAGGATTGGACCTAAAATGGTTTTGCGTGAATAATGTTGTTTGTAAGTTATTTCTTGGGATCCTATCTCAAAGAAAGTGTACTTGAAAGGCCAGGCGCGGTGGCTTATGCCTGTAATCCCAGCACTTTGGGAGGCCAAGGCTGGTGGATCACCTGAGCTCAGGAGTTTGAGACCAGCTTGGCCCACATGGCAAAACCCTGTCTCTACTAAAAATACAAAAATTAGCTGGGGGTGGTGGCGGGCGCCTGTAATCCCAGCTACTCAGGAAGCTGAGGCATGAGAATCACGTGAATCCAGAAGGCGGATGTTGCAAGGAGCCGAGACTGCACCATTGCATTCCAGCCTGGGCAACAAGAGCGAAACTCCATCTCAAAAAAAAAAAAAAAAAAAAAAAAAAAAGTATATTCTGGAGACTATATTTTAGAAAGTGAGTTATAAAAAAATAAAAATAGGTCACACTTTATTGTGATGTTTTATGCAGTTTGTATAAACACCGACTGACTGAACTTAAAATTTTTGCACATTGTATTGACCACATGAAACCTATCAAGATGTTTTAGTATATTGGGTTTGCTATAAAACTAAAGTTTATTCAGGTTTCTTCTTTTGAGAGAGAGATTATGACAAAAGAATAGCTTGGCTTTCTGCCCCAAGAATCTTTGTTTTGGCCTTTTTTGCCTTTGTTTTGCTTATTTTGTATGTATTGGACCTGTTTTTGCCTATTTTGAACCTGTTTTGGAGGGGCTACCAAACTGCCAAACCAAAGAGCTCATCACAGAAGAGGCAATTTCACACCCAGAGAATTGGTAGTCCCAACTTTCTGAATGACACCTAAGATCATTACCTTAATTTTTTTATCTGCTAGTCAGTAATTTTCAACAGTCTTTTCTGCTTGGTTTAGGTTTAGTCTGTAAAAGGGAAACAGGATATTAATTTGCAAGAAAACCTGGAGAAATTGGAAAACTTCTGTTGGGTATTACTTTTGCCTGATACCTACTCAAAATTAGAAACAGAAATACCTTATATTATTAGCACTTTCTCCACAATCATTAATATTAAAAATACAATGGGTATCAAATAAATAACACAGTTTACAAGGAAAAAAGTGACCAAAGCACCCTGTGGATCAGATTTGACTACTTGCTGCTTTTGTGAACTTGTGCTTCACTCTGTGTTTCTGTTCTGTAGGTTTTGATAGGCTAGACTTCTCCAGATATATTAAAACATGAATAATTTGGTAAATAGGCTGAGGTTTTATTGAGGTTTACCTGGGCTCAGGAGGGAGGACAGGTGTGCTGATTGGTCCATGGGCGGCCATGGGCGGGGCCTGGAAAAAGTATCATCCAATTGGCCAAAAGGCATCAAGGAGGTTCTCACTCCCAGTAGCAGTGGCTCACACCTGTAATCCCAGCACTTTGGGAGGCCTAGGTGGGTGGATCACTTGAGGTCAGGAGTTCAAAACCAGCCCGACCAACATGGTGAAACCCTGTCTCTACTAAAAATACAAAATTAGCTGGGCATGGTGGCACATGCCTGTAATCCCAGCTACTTGGGAGGCTGAGGCAGGAGAATCACTTGAATCCGAGAGAAGGAGGTTGCAGTGAACCGAGATTGCACCACTGCACTCCGGCCTGGGCAACAAGAGCAAAACTCCACCTCAAAAAATAAAAAAAAGATAATTCAGTAAAATTAAAGGGTTGAAGTGTAGCTTAGTAAAACCTTAGCCTTAGCAATGCTTTCCCCAGTCTTTAGAGGGAAGATTTGTTTTTAATTTCCTTGTAAATTTCATTCTATAAAGTCCATGCTGGACAGCAGATTTGGTGATTAAGATCTGAACCTTTATTTTTTTCTTTCCTATAGCTGACATTAGTAAGAATATAATATATTGTGATATGAACACCTGGGAAAGAAAAACCGAAGGTGTGATGAAGCACAAATTAAAGGAATCTGACATTTTCCCCCAACTCCTGGGGAACAATAGTAGTTTGAACTTTAATTTACTGTGCAGTTAGAGCAATTTAATAGATTAGGTGGACATGCTGTGTACTGTCAGAAATGGCTTTTTCAAAACATGAATAATAATACATATATTTATTTTGAGCCCTTCTCATATAGCCTTCTCCCAGAGGTTGAGCAGGTTAGGGGGCATGAGTATATCGAGAACAAATGGAGAAGACCGAATGTGTAGTTTTAGTGGACAATATGGTTTATTTTTATTATTTATTTTTAAAGTTGCTATATAATCGTTGTACATATTGTTGGAGTACATGTGATATTTTGATACCTGTATACCATGTGTAATGATCAAATTCAGTTACTGTTGAGTTATCATCACACAGGATCCTTCGGGTGTCACTTCACCAGCCAGAAACCTCTGGCCGGCGGCGCCTCTGCTTGAGTTTTGCTCGTGCCTTCTGGGCTTCTTCTGCCCACTTGGCCTGGATCAGGCAGCACCACCGGCCAGGATCCTCCCCTGCCAAGGGTGCGCCAGTCACGGAGCGGCGAGGGGTGTCTAAATGATTGAGCACAGGGTCCGGCCACTGTGCACAGCTAGGCATTCTGGCTGTTGCAGTGGGGTGGGCAGCTCCATGCACCAGCATAGGTGCTGGCTCCGTGCAAGGCTGTGGCTGGACCAGACATACCACAAGCTGTGGGTACCAGTGTCTGGATGAGGGGAACACAGTGGCGCCTGAAAGCTTGGAGATGCCAGGAACCACAGAGCCCCAAAGAGGGTGTTACAGCGTGTCACAGCCCTGGCTCCGGGAGCCCTGAGTTCTGGGCTCTCAGTAGGGCCACACCTCTTCTCTCCTCATTGCCTACAGTGCGCAGTGAGCGGGGGTGGGGGTGGGGGTCGTGTTTCAGCCTGTTTGTGTTACAGCTCTTTCAGTCATGCTTGCCTCTGGCTCCTGGGCTGGTCCAGCACCACCACTGCTTCCTGTTGCATGAGGTGGCTGCCTAGTGCTGGCAGAGGGCGGGAGGGCTGTAGTGTTACAGCCCCTTTAGCTGCCGCCCACAGCTGGGCAAGCTGGCCAGGAAAGTGTTACAGCTCCTTTCGTTCCTGCTGTTTGGTGGGTCTCGAGTTTTTCTTCCACATCCAGGAAGAATGAAGTTACACGGGCAACTGGAGGGTGAGCAAGGCCGAGAGGAGCTTTATTGAGCAACAGGAACAGCTCTCAGTGGAGAGGAGACCCAAAGTGGTTAGCACCTATCCACAGACAGGTGATGAGTCGCTGAGTCTGGGGGTTTTTATGGGCTCAGAAGGGAGGGCATGTGTGCTGATTGGTCCATGGGCGGCCACAGGCGGGCCTGGAAAAAGCACCATCCGATTATCCGAAAGGCATCAAGGAAGTTCTCACTCCCAGTAGCCGACTCCACCCAGAACTGGCAGCCTCGACCATAGGCTTCAGGCCCTCCCTGGCTTAAAGGTGGAGTTTCACCAGGGACCTGCCCCTTCCTGCCTAGGAAACTGTCTGCCTCCCACCACTATCAATATGCCATCCATGGCGCCCAGGCTGTCCGGCCCGAGGGGCACCTGCAGGCCCGCACTGAACTGCCCTCAGCCCCTTGGCCTCCTTCCCATGCTCGTTGGTGCCCAACGTCTGGAGGGAGTCCAGGCAGCAGGGGGCTGACATGTCAGTGCTGCCCTGAGCACACACACATCCGGCTGGCTCGCAACAGTGCCCAGGCTCAGCCACAACTGTTTTCCGACTGGAGTGGGTGCCAGGGACAGGGAGAGGCCAGCCAGGGAGTGGAAGCAGGCACTTCTGAGCCTGCGGGAGCGCAGGGATGCCTGGGTCCAGAGCTGCAGCTGGGTGGCTGCAGCTGTGCCCAGGGACGCAGGCTCCCACCCTGCCAACTTGGTAGGGCACAGGGTTCCCACCGGGATCACCTGTTCCCAGCCCCCGCCAGCTCCACGAAGCCGCCCCCCACTCCTCCATGCAGTTGGCATCTTTGCAGTGGCTGCTCCACGTGGGCTACCACTGCTATCATTATGATATGTTTTGATAAAACAGATCATTGGATTTTTCTTAAGAGTTCTGCATTTTTCCTTAATTTTCTTTTTTTGTTTTCCTTTTTTCTTTTGAAATGGGGTCTGTTTCACTCAGGTTGGGGTGCAGTGGCAAAATCATAGTCCTGGGCCCACACAATCCTTCCGATCCTTCCACTTCAGCCTCCCAAGTATGCTGGGACTACAAGTGTGTGACATCATGTCTGGCTAATTTTTTATTTTTAAAACTTTTTTAGAGATGAGAATCTCACTTCTTTTTTTTTGCCCACGCTGTTCTCAAACTCCTGACATCAAGTAATCCTCCCTCCTCAGACTCCCGAGTGTCTGAGATTATAGGTGTGAGTCACCGTGCCTGGCAAAATCTGCACTTTTGTAGTATTTTGTTTTAGTTAAACTTTTCAGCCAAGTGCAAAAAAATGAAAAGATTTGCACATGAATATGCAAACAGGTATGACTGTTGAGAAGAATAAGCTAAGGTTTTAGGGAAGCAAATATTCTTTTTTCTGGCTCAAGTGAGAGAATTAGCTCAGCTTAGAAGTTACTTGCTTTTTGGATGTGTTACTTGGATGTGTTACTCGGATGTGTTACCCATACATAGAATCATTAAATCATTATTTTTATACACATTCTTAGTGAGTTGAGATTTTGCTGCTGACACATTTGCAAAAGTTGGGATTGAAAATTAGAGTTTCTTGTTCAATGCTTTACTACTCTGCTGTTCCAGAAACCTTTAAGTTAAAGTAACAGATTAAAATATTTCATATGAAGAGAACTTTATGATTTCATATGACAATATACACACACTGAAAAACATAAAACTTTAAATATTTTAATGATTGCAAAGAGTATAACATAAAAATGACTCATAACATAAATGTAAAAACGTAGGTTTTTAAGCAGTGAGTACAGTGCTGATTGGAATACTAAGGATTTCAATAACCTAGTGTAATTCAGGATGAAGAAACAGAAATCATGACCTTCTTCAGATTTGAACTTGGCGGGATCCTGTTTGCAGGCTCTGCCTGTCTCTGCAGTGGGTTGAGTTCCTCATTGGTCCACTGACCCTGGTGTAGGGAAGAGGTTGACTGGACTTATTTCTGAATTTGACTGTCAGTAGCCCAGGGTTATAATGATTTCCCACACCTTGGACATACAGAAAATGATAAAATATAATGTTTTTAGAACCTGATTTTGCAAAGGGGCATAGATAAGGTAGATTGTTAGAAGGACCCAAGGGGAATGGTTGGAAGGCATGTCATAGAAGGAGAAGATAAAGAAAGCCCAGATGATTTTTGCCTGTAGAAGAGGAGGGCTGATGGGATTCAACTGCCTAAGTTTGTATCTAAATCTTGTTTTATGGAATTGAGGTTACATTTTGTTTGTATGGCTCTTAAGAACAGAATTCAGATTTCTGCCTTTGAAAAAGGGGAAACCCTTTACCAGTTAGGATTATTAAAAAATGGAATTTCTCTGCATTTTGAGATAGTAAACTCTACATTGAAGTATTCTGCTACTTGTTAGAAATTTTGTTCAAAACTTCAAGCATTAAATGGGGAATTGGTCTGGATGACTGTTAAGATCCCCAAGAGAATTCCAATTCTTTGATCTTAGCTGTCAATTAAAGATGTTTATAAATGTTTTATCAGCTGTTCTACCTACTTCCTTATTCTTAGATGTATACTATTTCATATTAAACGATCACCAGGGACCATTAATCATATAAATAAACAGCAATAATTGCATAGACTGATTCTTCATAGAGTGCTTATTATCCTATATTATATAAAATCCTGTGATCATTTTGTTGTTGCCATGGAAGTAAAACAGTGGTTGCTTTATTATGACTAAAGCTGGGGGACTATTTTTAGCCAAATTATAGTCATCTTTGCCAGCTGAAGCATATTCAATTAAATATCCATTAATAGGATAAAGTTTATGGAACTCTGTTAATGACTCTTTTTCCCTCTTTACTTTTAAACATTGTGATGAAATTAAAACTTAGCTAATTGGACTCAAGGTAACTACAAATGAGATGTGCTTCAAGGATCTTGAATGAGCCTGTTTTTTTCTACTTTCTATTTATTTTTTACCGCGTTCTTTCCAAGTCATTCTTCTGAACTGGTCCGTAGCACATCTGCATCAAAACCAGTGATCAGGGATGGCCTGAGGAAGTTGGGCTGCTTGTGGGGAGAAGCAGACTCTGAAGGCCTGGAAATCTACATTTTCAAAAAGGCCTAGAAATTTTGACGTAGCACATTTGAGGATGATAGCAGGAAGAATTTAGAAATTGTCAGCTAACACCTGTTTTCTAGAATCTGCAAGCACAGACCTACGTGACACCAGTACCACCACTACCACCCAGCATATTACTCTAGAAGGAAGCACAGAAATTATCAGGTTTCTTCTCTTTTACTTTGTATCATGAACAATTAAGTAACTTGCCCAGGGCCATACAGACTGAATCCCATATCTCCACTGAGCCATTTGGTTTTGATGGGGATGGACTGAAGAGAAGAACTTTAAAAAATACTATTGGAAAGCTGAAATGGACCAGTGACCAGCCTCTGGATTCCTGTGATTTGTATCAGTTACCGTTTTGAATATCATGCATATGCTATGGTCACAGATCTCTTAATGTATCACGAGGACAGTTGGAAAACAATTCAGTTGAGATTAATTGGGTACATGTATTTTCTGGTTGTGGCTTTTCTGCCTTGTTTGTAGTTTACACACCAATCCATGAAATTATTTCCTTCCTTTTTCTTTTTCTTCCATGTTAGGTATCTGTCTGGTTCCTCCCTTCTTTTTCAAAGAGAGGATCAGCTTTCTGCCCCAGATCCTTCTTTCTCCTTATCTGTTCTCCACTTGATTTTAGTAACATTTCTGTGCAGACAGCCTAACAGACCTGACCTCAGATCTGTGGCCAGAAAATTTTTACTCAAATACTTTGACAGTGTTTTACTCATCTAAAAGTGAATGTGATCCCTAGACAAGTATGAGGCCAAAGGTGCGTCTCATTGGACCTCAGGCCATGTGAGCATACGCACATGGGAACATGGGGATTCTTTTACAGTTTAAGTCATGGGGAAGACAAGTCATAAACCACAGTGGTTTCTCAAAGGCAGTGATAGAGATAAGGTGATGAAGAAACTCCTATCTTCTCAGTATTCACAGTTTTGTCTGAGTAGGGATGTCTGGAAAAGGGAGGAGTATAATCCTAAAGTTTTGCCTTGAAGGGATTTATGAGTTGCTCATATTTATATATCATGCATATCATTTGTTTGTGCTCATACTCTTGCTTAACCAGTGATAGTACTATATGCAAAACTCCCCATTTTGATGTAGTCTTGTTTTTAGTGATTACCTGGTAATTTTGCCTTCTCCCCATTCTTACCTATCCTAATACGGCCTCGGTTTTTTAGCCTTTCCAGATTAGCAAACCCCAAAGGCTTAGTAGTTGTTTTGAGGAGCTAACTTTAAAATGTATCTGTTCTTGTTGCTTTTTCAGCTCAGGATAAACAGCAGTGAATCAGTTAGGAGACCTTTCTGGTAGCCTGTTACCCCAAATGTAGACCCTTGATTTTGATTTGTCTCAGGCCCCCTTAGTAGTAGATGAAGGGTTGGTTTTTGAAAGTGAAATTGTAGCTTGTTTAGTAAAAATTGCTTGTTTCTGTGGAGGCAATGTGCCAAAATTAGAAGCATCTATGGTGCCGCGCCATAAAGCAGTCTGGTGCCTCTCAAACAATAACTTTGTCAGTTCATTTTTATGGCTGAGAAAATAGCAGTCTAGGTGACCAACTTTCCCACAATTGCTTGGGGGTGTTTACTGACTGCCCTTGATCAGACGCCAAACACTTCAGAGGTAAGAGAGCCTAACCTATTTGTAGTTGTTGTTTACCCTCAGCCCTTAGCCTGCCCTTTGTTTTTCACTTACAAACAAAAGAGTAAAATCAACAGGCTGGTCTGTAAGAACTCTCATTTACTTTCCGGACCCCTTCTGTGTGGTTTAGGTAAGGCAGAGACTGGAACTATATACATCAAACTAATCATCTCACAGCCCATTATTAGGTCCCAGCTGCCGGACAACTTAGAGGATTTTTATTAACAATCAAGACACTTTTGTAAAGTTAAGTTAATTTTTGGAGATTGCTGGTCCCTTCCAGCCTGACACTGAAGTGATGATGAGTGAGTGAGCAGCCTTCTAGATTGGCAAGAAAGTGGCATCAGGTAGATAAGCTATGACTCTGTTTTATGGAATATTTGGTTCATTTTTTTTTCCATTGAGCAGCCTTCTAGATTGGCAAGAAAGTGGCATCAGGTAGATAAACTATGACTCTGTGTTTATGGAATATTTGGTTCATTTTTTTTTCCATTTCCATAATCACTTTTGATTTTCCTTAGTAGTTCTAGTCCATACATCCTGGACATTTCTCTCTTGCCTTTGGATTTTAAGTGCATGAGTTAAAAGAACTAAGCTAGTAAACCACGTTAGGATGTTGTCAATAAAATGCCCTTACAGTGTTGTCAAAGACTTTGCTTTATGGCAGGCACTCTTGCAGGGGCAATGGAAGAGCCAACCCTGAGAGTAGTTAAAAGGGATCTTCTGTGGTTTGCTTTGTAAGCCTCACTAAAGCAACAATAATTGAAATCCCTGAAATATATTGAGTAATGATATGTTGGTAAAGCAATACATGATTATTACTTGTCATACAGCTTTCAGGTTGGTGATGTTTTTCATGTTCTTTCATTTGTAACAGATGAATAATGTAAAACAGAGCTTGTGAGGAGTACAATGACATTTTGTTGTCTGGTTAATAATTTCAGCACTATTTGCAAAATTGCCCTGCCAGAGCATGACCTAGGAATTGTAAAGTGGAACACAAATAAAATAGGAAATGTGTATTTGCCCATGAGTTCTTCATGGACTTGTTATAAAAACACTTGTTTGCTGTCCTGTCTTTTGCTCACTTCTCTGTCCCCACTGGGAGAAGAGGGCCTTGTGGCCAGGCAAATGGGATGGAAGTGGGGGTACATGGAGGAAGAGTAGACAAGGTTTTATTCATCTCTGTTCCCTTTCATAACTCTTCCTAAGAGCAGAGAAAGCTGGTGAGAGAATGACAGGCAACCCTGTTAAAAGACTCGGAGGCTGGGCGTGGTGGCTCACGCCTGTTATCCCAGCACTTTGGAAGGCCGAGGTGAGTGGATCACCTGAGGTCAAGAGTTCGAGACCAGCCTGACCAACATGGTGAAACCCTGTCTCTACTAAAAATACAAAAATTAGCTTGGCATGGTGGCAGACACCTGTAATCCCAGCTACTCGGGAGGCTGAGGCAGGAGAATTACTTAAACCCAGGAGGCAGAGGTTGCAGTGAGCCGAGATTGCGCCACTGCAGTCCAGCCTGGACTCGGGGCCAGTGCAGCAAATAAATTCTGCCCCGTTCCTGCTGAGACCTCCCTTAGTTGCTCTACTTGCATCGACTTTTAATGAGCAATCTTTCTGATTCTTTTCTCTACAAAATGAGTAAACTTTAACATCTTAGTCTGCATTTTACCTCGGGGCATTTAAAATTTAAATAGCCTTGTTCTGATAAGCAGAATAGGGGGTAATTTTTTACCCTCAACAAGTTTGTCTAGAGGATACCACTAGGAGTCATGCTCACCTGTTCCTATTCACCTCTCCTGGGAACTCCGTCTTGAGTTTGTTATTAGCTGAAATGCTAATAGATCCTCTTCACGCTGTGTGAGAAAGTCCGAGGGCGTCTCGGATGCCCTTCATGTGCCAAAGAGAGAAAATGCTGGGATGGTTTGCTTTTAAAGGTTTTGAAATGAAGCACTCGATGCTCTGGTGATGCCTTTGTTTTAATTTTGCTGTTGATATTTGCAGGGACTTTACTTGTTAAATATCAGAAGCCTTTTCTCAGTATTATTGAGTTGCATTTGTATAATTCTTTAGGGCTTTAATGTTTACGGGGTCCTGGTTTAAGTATAAATAAGCCTATCTTTGGATTACCTGCCATTCCAAACCTGACATTAAAGATCAAAACAAAGAAAGATGGGATCTTAGTATTCATTTAAATAAGTTTAACTGGCTGGGCACAGTAACTCGCACCTGTAATCTCTGCCCTTTGGGAGGCTGAGGTGGGAGGATCGCTTGAGGCCAGGAGTTGAAGGCCAGCCTGAGCAACATTGTGAGACCACATCTCTACAAAAAAATACAAAAACCAGCTGCACATGTAGTGGCTTGCCTGTAGTCCCAGCTACTCAGCTACTCAGGCTGTGGTGAGAGGATCGCTTGACCCCAGGAGGTTGAGGCTGCGTTGAGCTGTGATCATGCCATTGCACTGCAGCCTGGATGGCAGAGCGAGACCCTGTCTCAAAATAAATAAATAAGTTTAAATGATAAGGTAATCCTGAATGTTGTTTATTTGTAGCCTAAGTAAATTATGTTTCAAACTGGGGCAAGGTGATAAAGTTTAACTTGAAGAGCAGAGTCCTGAGACCCTGGGAGATTCAGCTTCACCGTCACTCTGGATGTATGGAACCCACTGTTTTTTGTTTTTCCAAAGATAATTTCTTGGACCTTTTCTCAGAGGTCTTCTACCTAACTCTTCAATTATTTCTGTTGCTAGATCAGACTTTCACCAAATGCTCATGCTGCTTGAGTTGTCTGGGCTATATGCCTGACTCCATGCTGAGATACACAGAAACCTCAGGCCAAAAGCTGGGTCTCCCCGTCCCCCACATGGTTCTGTGCACCTGTGCATTACTCATTCCGCATGCCATTCTCTCCATAATTAAGAACAGAAATGCTTGTTCTCTTCAATGTCATTGTGTCCTTGGCATCCTGCACAAGGTCTGGCAGTTACGTTGGGTTCAACAAAAGTTTGTTGAACTGAACAAAGCAACAACCAAGGGTTCTAAAAACTGGAGTTGAAGGTTATATTACAAGCCTGTCTCCTGGTACCTGATGTCTTTGACAGTCTTAAAGCTTGCATTTCTGTAGCCCTGAATTTAAATCAAGTTCTTTTTGAAACCATGTTAGGTCATCATGCCTGCTGTGAATGGATTCACCAACTTTCTGTACCATTCATTGCTAGTCACTGAATTTTGAATATTCTTCCCCCACCCACTCTAAGGATAATTGTTATTGTCCAGCTCCAGAGTTCCTTGCCTCTAATGAAACAATTGCTGCTGCTTTATGCAGTAGTTTGTTGTTTATGTATGTGTTATAAAATCTTCTGTGTGACTTTCAATTCCTTACATCTTGCACAATGAATGTTGATTGAATTTAATAAAACATAAGCTAACAAAAGAATAGCATTATGTATTTACACAATAAGTGTATAGGGTTTTTTTTTTAAAACCATTTAAGCCTAAAAACAACTTGATAAAGTAGCTAATTGGGTAGATACCTCAACTTCAATGAAATTGAGGAAAATTGGGATTTAAGAAGCTTGTCTTATGTGAGAATTAAACCCCGGTCTTTCTATTCCTGATGCCCTTAAAACAGCTAAGTAACAAAACAAGTTCAAAGAGGAATGTTTGAAAGAAAAGACTTGAATTTCAAATTGGCAAGACAGAATTGTTCACTAACGCTGGCCTTGTGATTTGAAATGGCCAGGTGAGAAGATGGTGGCTACCCTTATTTAACAATTCTATCAGCAACTCAGTTTTGGTTCTTGGTAGTGATATACGTTAAGATTTTAGCAGGAAAATTTAGTCATTGAGCAATTTGTTCTTTTGGTCACTTGCTCCTTTTAAAGACAATGACTGGGCCAGACTAGAAATTCTTGAAATAAAGCCAATGCCAGAGAAACGGAGAAGATCGACTTTCAGGAAAAAAAAAAAAAAAAAAAAAAAAAGGGCTGGTCCTTTGATTTAGAGCTGTCTGAGGACATCCCGAAAGCTGGCACACCTAACTTTCCAAGATTTCCTAGAAATTGGGGAAGCAGGACAGGTAATTTTGGGAGACACAGAGGACTAGGGTTGGGGGGAGTAGACAACTATGACAAAGCAGCCACCCTTACCTTGTTATTTTTATTTTCTTATTTTTTAATAACCATAATTAGGTTATCGTGAAGATACTACATTTTCAAGAGGAGGATATTCTTGCCAAGCTATAAGATGGAAAGATACTTTAGGAGAAAGAATGTGAAGAGTAAAAAAACTCACTTGCTCATCTAAGAAACTGTGTAACTCATTTGGCCTCTGTGGTGAATGATAACACTGTGTGAACCTCTTTGTTCACATGGTATTTTTCTTCTACTGGGGCAGTGTGAAAGTTGTTAAGATATTATTCATCGAGGCACAGTGCTAGGTACTTTATATGCATTACATCTTCCAGTCCTGCAACAACCCTTGAAATTAGCAGCTGTCATCCCTTTTGGTAGGCCAGTAAAGTGTTGATCAGAGAGTTTTAAGTAATTTGCCCCAAGGTCATGCTAGAATGTGATGGAGTCCAGGTGCAAACTCAAGCCTCTTTAGCGCCTTCCTGCCCTGTTTCCTCTCTGGCTGGATGCCTTTGGGAAGAAGTAGTCACAGGTTGGAGAGACCAGTATGCCTTCCATCATTTTACCTGAGCCAGAGGAAGTGCCATCAGTACCTAGCTTCTGTGTGAAAATAACACCTTGAAAGAAGACGAGTTTGCCAGCAGCAGTTTAAGGAACAAGAGATCTTGCTTTCAAAGGAAAGTGAAATTAGAAAAACAAGAAGAACAGAGTTCTTGTCCCTGTTGTTCCATCTCTTGCCTGCTCTTTCCTGGGCTGGTCAGCTTGCTTCTGGGCCTCAGTCTGTTTATTTGTAAAGCTGTGAGACTTCTACTATATCCTAAGGGCCTTTGACCTCCTCAGTTCTGCAATTACTAACGTTTCCACAAGATAGTAATCTTTTTAAATCTTGTAAAATTTAGACAGTGCCTGAAATGCCTTCTTGTGTTTATTTGTTTATATGTCTGTATCCCCATGCAGTTGCTTGTGGATAGACAATGCACCTCTTGGCCTTTGCATAGCACAGTGTCTAGAAATAGTGTCCTTACAAATATGAATGTATGTGGAATGAAAATGTGCTCTCAGAGATTTATATGCAGTTGCTGTTTTGTAGCTTGTTAGTAACCCCAGTTTTACTACCTTATCTTTCTTTGGTTATTTGCATAATTTTTCAATTCTTTTTTTGTTAAGGTGAAATGCATAAAACATAAAATTAACTCATTAAGTAAATACACCTATTCACAATGTTATGCAACCACTACCTCTGTTTCCAAAACGTTTTTCATCACCCCAAAAAGCTGTACCCATTGAGCGGATGCTCCTCAGTCCTGCAAACCTTCCACCCACCCTCCTGCCTCAGCCTTTGGCAACCACCAATCTGAGTTCTGTTTCTGTAGATTTATTTATTCTGAATATTTCGTGTAAGTGGAATCACACAATATGGGTGATCTTTTGGGTCTGATCCTAATGCTTTCAAGCTTTATCAGCATTGTAGCTTGTATTAGTGCTTCATTCCTTTTTATGGTGGAGTAGTATTCTATGGTTTGTACACATTTTATCCATCCTTCTCCTGATGGACATTTCAGCTCTTTCTATCTTTTGAGTATTGTGAACATGAACACATGTACAGGCTGCTGTGAACATGCCTGTAGATGTGTTTGTTTATGTGTTTGCAATTCTCTTGGATATATTACTTTCAATGGCAAAAAACACAGTTACTTTTGCACCAACCTAATACAAGTAAAAGTGGAATTGGTGGGTCATAAGGTAATTTTACATTTAACTTTGAGGAAGTGGTACAGTTTTCCACAGTTTCTGTTTACTTCCTACCAGCAGTGTACAAGTTTCCAATTTCTCCACAACTTTGTCAACACTTGTTATTTTCTGTGTGTGTGTGTGTGTGTCTTTTAATAGCCATCCTAGTGTGTGTGAAGTGGTATCTCATCATGGTTTTGATTTGTATTTTCCTCATGACTGATGATGTTGAGCATCTTCTTATGTGTGTGCATGTGTTTGTGTGTTGGCTATTTACATATTATCTTTGGAGAAATGTCTATTCAATTCCTTTAGCCATTTTTAAGTAGGGTTGTTTGTCTTTTTGTTGAGTTGTGAGAGTTCTTCATATATTCTGGATACAAGTCCCTTATCAAATATGATTTGTAAATATTTTTCCCATTCTATAGGATGTGTTTTCATTTTCCTAGTTATGTCTTTTGATGCACAAAAGTTTCTAATTTTGATGAAGTTCATTTTATCTGTCTTTTGTTGCTTGTACTTTTGGTGTCTATAGATCTGTTGCCAAATGCAGTGTCATGAAGATTTACTTCTGTTTTCTTCTAAGAGTTTTATTTTTTTTAAGCTTCTATAAGTAGGTCTATGATCCATTTTGAGTTGATTTTTGTATATGATATGAGATAGGGGTCCAAGTTCATTCTTTTTGTCTATTTGGAGTCCCTGGAATTTTGATAGGATTACATTGACTCTAGATCACTTTGAGTATTATTGCTAGCTTAATAATAAATCTTCCATGGCTGGGTGTGGTGGCTCATGCCTGTAATCCCAGTACTTTGGAGGCCGAGGAATATCACTTGAGCCCCAGGAGTTTGAGATCAGCCTGGGCAATATAGTGAGACTCTGGCTCTATTAAAAAAAAATAAATAAATCTTCTTTTTCATGCTACTATTTAGCAGTGTTTTGTAGTTTCAGTATATAGACCATTCACTCCATTGATTAAATTTATCACCAGGTATTTTATTCTTTTGGATGCTGTTATGATTGGAATTGTTTTCTTAATTTTCTGATTGTTCATTCCTGGTGTGTAGAAACACAATTGGCTTTTTTTGTGCAGATATTATACCTTGCAGGTTTACTGAATTAGTGTGCTAGCTCTAGTAATTTTTTTTGTGGGATCTTTGAGATTTTCTATACGTTGGGATATGTCATATGTGAGTAGATAAGTTTTACTTCTTCCAATTTGGATGCCTTTCTTTTTCTTGCCTAATTGTTCTGGCTAGAACTTCCAGTACAATGTTGAATCTCAGTGATGAAAGTGGACATCCTTGTCTAGTTCCTGATGTTGGTGGAAAGTCTGGTTCTTATAGTCTTCTGTCTCATGAAGTCAGAGCTTATCAAAGCATGGTCCCTAGACAGCAGCATCCATACCACCTGGGACCTTGTTAGAAATACTCATTCTTGGAGGTTCCCTCTGAACTTTCTGATTCTGACACTGTGCGAAGTGGGGCCTAGCAATTTGTATTTTAAGAAACGCTCTAGATGATGTGGATGCACACTGAAGTTGAAGAACCACTGCAGCAGAGTTCGAATTTCTTTAAAGTTAGCATCTGTGCTTTATTTTCTTTGTCTTCCTTTTAGTTCCCTTGTGGGATTAATCAGTGTTGAATAATTTAAAAAAAAAAAAGAATGTCAAGGCTAACCAAAGTGCCTACATTATCTCTTAGCTTGTGTAAGAGTCTTGAGTCACCATGAATGATTGCAGATTCATCATTAGACATTTATGAGATTCATCAGAAGACCTCACATTTTGTATGCAGTCTTAGACCCATTGCAAACAGCTTAAATGTACTTGTATTTAGACCATTTGTTCTGATAATTACTTTCACCATTATTATCTGTTTACCTACTAGCTGTGGCCTTATGGCTACTTCTGCCAGCAAGAATTTCTGTTCCTCAGCTATTTAAAAAGACTGAAGGGTCACTTTTATAGGATAAATTAGATTTTATCACATCATTATTTCATCTTTGCCTTATTTTCATCTTGCTATGTTGTGATGTCAACTCCTTTACATCCTTTTTGAGCAAGATGATATTTAAATCAATTAGGAAAAAATGTGATCTATTGCAGCTAATGGCTATTGTTGAAAAATAGCCGTTTAGACACACAAGTACCAGTTTATAGACAAGCACAATAATTCTATGAATTCATTATCAGATTATAGACAAGCACATGAATACTCAGATGATAAAAATACCATTTAAAAGTGCCTGAAATTATAGTATAATTGATTAGTTTATAGCTGATCTTTTTCTAAGACTTGTTTAAATGATGATTTGTACCCTGGATTCCCAGTTTCCACCATTTCAGACTTCCAAACTTTATTTGTAATTCACCTAATCAGTCTGGTTCTGTCTGCTCCCAGAATGGGTGAATGTTGTGAAGATAGCATCTGAGATGTGTGAGCTCTAGGTCAGCAGTTCCCAACCTTTTTGGCACCAGGGACCGTTTTTGTGGAAGACAATTTTTCCACGGATTGGGGGTGAGGGGGGCTGTTTCAGAATGAAACTGTTCCACCTCAGATCATCAGGCATTAGTTAGATTCTCATAAGGAGCACACAGCCTAGATCCCTCTTCACGATAGGGTTCGCTGCTGATTAGGAATCTAATGCCGCTGCCGATCTGACAGGAGGCAGAGCTCAGGCAGTAATGCTCGCTTGCCCACTGTTCATCTCCTGCTGTGCAGCCCATTTCCTAACTGGCCACAAACCAATAGTGGTCCGTGGCCTGGGGATTGGGCGCCCCTGCTCTTGGGGATCCCTGGTAGCAGGGAAGAAACAGAGGATGAGGCAGAATGATCTTGCAGCCTTGGTGGAGGCTCAGGAGCTCTCCAAGAGCTTGTGTGGTCCTAAGAATACAATGTTGCTGGTCTTTCCTTTTGTCTCTTTGATGTGTGAATACTGTCATACAATCATTGCATTAATTACCATTGATTGAATAATAAAGCGGCTCTCCAACCTTTCTGGTTCAAGGTTTAAGTAAATGAAAATTCAATTCATTAACAATTGCTAGCAGACTTTTAGGAACTTTACGAAGAGAAATTAGTGTTTTAATTAGGGAAAGATTACAATAATATTGGGCATTCTCAAACACAGTTCAGCAGAGATAGTAAACTCACAGATTGGGAAATAAATGTTTAGGAAGACAATAACTTCTTTTCGTACCACTATGGTGAATGAGATTTTATTTTGCTAGCTTTTAAACTCCAAATTGCCTATAGATGCAATGGTTTATTTCAGAAAGGAGAGGAACTTGGGGTTCTAAGGCAAGGTGGAGTTTTGGAAACTATTAGTGCATATTTTTAAATGTCCTTTGAAATAGTTTTGATGACAGTGACAAAAGGGGGAACAAGCATGTTAAAGTCATTTGGCTACTCTTGAAATCAAGACTGTGAAGAAAACCTTTTCTAGCTGTAAATCACATGCTTGTCCTACATTCTTTAAAGCATTTTACACAAATGACTTTAACAGTTTTAGGGGTCATGCCTGGGGTTAAGAGACTATTTGCATGGTATACGTTTTGGTGATTAAAAAGCAATACTTTATTGAGATGGTAGCACCTCTGTTCACACTCTGTACTGTGAAACATTTTATTTTTACCTAATGAGGAAGGATTGTTCCCTAAGTCAATGTTGTACCAAGTGTATACTTGTTGATTTTATGTTGCATGGGTGTGGAATATTAAAAAGCTTTACTACTTGTAATAGTAACAAAAAAAAATTTAAAAAGCAACCAAAACTATCTATAAAATTATAAAAAGCATTGTAAAGAATAATGATAACTAGTAACATTTTGATGAGTGATTATTGTGCCATGCACTGCTCTAAGCGCTTTTGCGTGTAATGAATTTCATCTTTAAACCTGACCATATGAAGTAAGAATTGTTATTCTCACTTATGACTATTAGGAAGTAAGGTTCAGAAAGGCTAAGTGAATTGTTCAAGGTCACGCAACCAGTGTGAATAGTGAGCTGGGGAATAAAACCAGGCAGATCACACTCTTAACATCTGCTCCATTGAGCTGTGTACATCAGCCCTTGAATTTCACAGATACTGCTCAGGATGGGGCAGACATCATTGTTTATGATTTATTTTTAATGAGTCAATTCAAATACAAATATTAAGTAAATACACAACTCTCTCGTTGGCTGTGTCAAAAATGCTGAGGCTGACAAGAAAAATGGATTTGGAAACCAAAGCCTTCAGCGATTGGTGGATGTATTCGTTTAAATTATACTTAAGAATTAAATGGGGTCATGCAATGATCGATTTTTATGCCATTCTCTTCTTTTGCTTTAAATTATTGCCAATGTGTTAGCATGTGAGAGACTGCTGTGTTTACTTTTTACAGTTACAGAGATGACCAGATAGTTGAGTGATTTGGTATATTATCCATGAATTTGGATTGAACGGTTGGCATTTGGAATGTTAGATAAATAGTATACAAATTTTCTTCCCTGCTCCTGTTTTTTTTCCTATTTCACAGACTTGTTCATATGCTCACCAGTGTCCCTGTCCCTTTCCCCCTGCTGAGTCCTCTCCTGTGAAGTGGTCATAACGCTGGTTGTACTGTGAAGTGAAGGATGCATTGTGTGCACGTTTAAATGCAGCACTGGATGGCAGGATCTGCCTTTTACCAAATAAAGTGTTGTATTTCTCTTGGTTTTTGTTCCAGCTGAGCAATTTTCATTGCCGACAGCACAACATACATTAGGATAAAGCAAATAAACAATGCAAGGCACTTGGAGCCAGGAAGTCGCATCTCAGACTAGAAACACATAGTTTTCTATTGACATTTGGGAGGTGGGCTGCTAAATAGGCGAGCCAGCCACCAAATAGAAAACCAGTGGCCATGAGGTTCTTGCACTTCTAGGGAAGCCATTTATTTAATCGTTAGATCTTTGAAAGGTGTCTGAAGTTGATTTTGATGTAACAACAGCCAGTTTCTTTGTAATTAAATATTAACTCAAAACTATGTCTTGGGTAACTGTTAACCTTTGCCATTTGTTGTTTGCCTTAGACATGTAATTAACATTCATTGAATTTAATTTGTTGTTGTTCACGTCTTTTATTAACTCATACACAATTACTTGTCTTCTGTTTTTAAAAACTTTTTTGGGAAGACAGGGTCTTGCTCTGTGCGCAGGCTGGAGTATGGTGGCTTGATCTTGACTCACTGCAGCCTCGACCTCCTGGGCTCAAGCCATCCTCCCACCTGAGCCTTCCAAGTAGCTAGGACCACAGGCGCGCACCACCATGCCTAGCTAATTTTTTATTTTTTGTAGAGATGGGATCTCGCTATGTTGCCCAGGCTGGTCTCAAACTCCTGGGCTCAAGTGAGCCACAGTGCTGAGCCTTGTCTTCTGGTTTGTTGAAGCAGTAAGTCAGACAATATTTGCCACAATAATGTCTGTCAATTGTTTGTGGCTGGCCATAAAAACTCCAGCATCACATTCATCTGAAGGACACTGCTAATGAAGGCCACTCATTTTGCTGTTGTCATCCACCTTATTGTATCTCAGGACATCCAGCTTAATCTTTTTCTATTATGTTTATTCTTCTTGGGAGTGGTATGACTACTTCTATGAAGTCCCAACACAAGATGAAGAGCGGACTCCTTTTGAATGTGTAGTTAGAGTATGTTCATCCTTCAGTTGCTTGCCAGCAAAGATCAGTCTCTGTTGATCAGGAGAAATTCCTTCTTTATTCTGGATCTTGGCCTTTGGATTTTCTGTTGTGTCCAAGGGTTCAACCTTGAGAGTGGTGCTCTTCCTGTAAGGACTTTTATGAAAATCTGCCTGTTGCTTGTGGTTCCATCCCAGATGGTGGATCAGAAAACTGAATTTCCTATTTTGAAACAAATTTCTTGTTAATTTAATACTTTACTTTGAAATAATCCATGTAAATTTGGCATACATATTTTTAATAGTTCCTTATTTTAAAATATGATCTAGACCTGGCACGGTGGCTCACAGCTGTAATCCCAGCACTTTGGGAGGCCAAGGCAGGCGGGTCTTGAGGTCAGGAGTTCAAGACCAGCCTGGCCAACACAGTGAAACCCGTCTCTACTAAAAATACAAAAATTAGCTGGGCGTGGTGGCGGGCACCTGTAATTCCAGCTACTCGGGGGGCTGAGGCAGGATAATCGCTTGAACCTGGGAGGCAGAGGTTGCAGTGAGCCGAGATCGCGCCATTATACTCCAGCCTTGGTGACAAGTGCGAAACTCTGTCTCAAAAAAAAAAAAAAAAAATGTATTCTTTCCCCCTGCCTTATTCAGTTGGTTTGGAATAATTTAAGGATTTCTTCTATTTCAAATTATGGCATATTACAGTAATTTATTAAAAATAATCTAACTGAAAATCATAAATGCAAAGTCTATAGGAGCTTTCTAAACCAGAATAAAAAATAATTTTATAATTGATTTGTTTAAATATTGATTAATTATGCATTCTTTTAAAGGCCAAATAAAAAGAAAGAAACTTTTTGCCCCACTCTGTTACACTACTACTAACTGAGCAATCTTGGTTTATGGAACTTGAGGTTTTGGGAATCATTAAATATTTATAAAGATACTTATAGTTTTGGGTTTTTTGTTTGTTTTCTTTGAGTTGTATAGCTGGAGAATTCCTTTTCATTCATGGTTTCAGGTTTAGCTTTAAGGCAATATATACCAACTTTTGAAGAGCAAATTGTCAAAGTCATTAATTATCTTCAGTTTGGATAGTACATTGAAAACATTAATTATTTTGAATAATGTATGTTTCTTCAGCTATTAACATCTGACTCGTCTGTTTTAGGACCTGCTGAAGTTCCCATGATGTCACCCAATGGATCCATTCCTCCCATTCATGTGCCTCCAGGTTATATCTCACAGGTAATCCATTTGATGGACTTCTCTACTCACTATGGACACTGTCGTTGCTCCAACAGAATATATGTTGAGGCTTCAAAGCCATATTCCAGGAGTTAATTTGGGTACCGTAGTGCTAGGTTTGCCATCATTTTGTGGCACCACATGGCGTTTCTTGTGTCTTGCCACTTGACGTACCAGAGAACCAGAGAAAAGGAGACACAGAAGGCCTACTAGACTGTCCTCTGCCAAGTGGGGTTTTTATATTTGATTGTTTGGTTGTGATTTCTTTATGGAGTCTCCTGCTTCAGACATTTCCTTCCACCTGTAATACAACTTTCTGGAAGAAAATTCATAGATGTAGTTAGTTAACATATTAAAGGAGACATAGCTCACATAAACAGGGCCTACCTTCTGTTACAGAAGGAAAAAAATGGAGTTCAATTGCTCCACAATGTGGCAAAAGCTAGGCTTGGTGAGTTATTGAGTATGATGTGAGAACTTGGCTGTTTGCACTTAAATTTCTCTGAGCTTTGGTTTTCTAAGTAAAATGATGGTAATAGCAATCTCAGAGATCTGTGGGAAGGGTAGAAAAGCTTTAAAGGATGAAGTTATGTTCCTGTACGTGAATAAAGCATAAAATGTTCTGCATGGCTGGAACATTGTGGACATCTGTATATACTTTAGTTTTTGTCCTAGCCTCAGCACAATATGCAAATCTTCTGTTTCTGCATAGCTACCTTTCCAAATACCTAACAAACTGTTTTTCTGTCTTTCTGCCTTTTTTGTTCTTCCTACTTACCATAAAAGGAAAAATATTTACCATTTTACTATCCAGAGATGATAATCACTCTGCTAACATGTTTTTGATTATATCCTTCCAGATGGATTTTTCTTTTCTCTACTCTTTCTCTGTCTCTCAGCCTCTGCTTTTAAAGTGGTTTAAAATATGTAATTTTCAGTTTTTAATGATTCTGCTAGGGCGAAAAATTGGCAGCTACATAGGAAAGTTGCTGAAGCGGAGGCAGGAATCAAAGATTTATCCTTCTCTGATATAAAAACTTACCCATTTTTTCAAGTGTAAGGCATATTGCAGCCACTATAATTTCATTTTTTTCCATCCTTTTTTTTATGTGAGCCAATTGGACTTTATTTATTTCTTACTGAGTTACTTACTTACTTACTTACTTACATAGCCAGATTGCTGGCCAGTTTTCCTGCTGTTGCAAATAAATGACTTACTTTACACAAGTCTTTGTAAGTAAGAATCACTGGAGGGAGAAAGGGGTGTAGAACAGGCTCTTCCAGCAGGGACACCAGATGATGGATCACATTCACATCAGCCGTCAGTTAACAGAAAAGAACAAGGAATGTAGAATTCCATTATGTCTCCTGCTCATGTATTTTGAGGAAGCATTTCATTCCATTGAATAGAGTACAGTTCTCACCATTGTGACGCAAAAATAACACCTCCTTTTATGCTAAAGGTCCATTTAAGAAATACCAGTTAAAAATTGAACATTTCTAACGGAGAGAAGCTTCAGTGTGCTTTTTCTTACTAGTATTATTGCTGTGATTACATTAAATGCAAAAATATTTATTGCATGTACTAGGAAAAGTGGAGAATTTTTGACTTGGATATAGTTCGGATTCTGGAAAACTTCTGTAGAAAATCCAAATAGAGTAAAAGTAGAGCTGTACACTCGCTTGTATGAAACTGATGATGGAAGCATGTTGATGCTCTTTCCCGGCTGACAGGTATGGCAGAATATGCTAGACAATATTGGAAGAATAGTTAAAATGGAATAATTTGAATTGAAAAAGGGAAAGAAGCAGTCTGTAAGGCATGTGAATGACTAACTTCATTTCAATTGGGCTCCTTGACCAGAAGATGGGTGCAAAGTTAAATGACCTTCCGTGATAGTATTATGTCTTTTATGACACGTTACAGTAGAGTATCTGAAAAAGATTGTTAATATGAAGAAAATAGAATTGAGAAGCCAACAGGATGTGTACACAACATCTTCTTTAACGCTGGCAGTACACACACTTCAATGAAATGAGGAAGGCCGAACCAAATATAAAATGTCTTAGTTGTCTTGTTATCACCAAGAGATAGGAGCAAGATACATTGTTGTCATGCAGTTGTAGAAAGAAAGAAACACACACACACACACACACACACACACACACACACACACACACACACACACAATCTCCTGCAGCAGGCTGGACATATGTGAGAAGTGCTCAGTACTAATCTGTCCCTCTGCTAGTTAGTTCTGTACAGTTATCCCCACAGTCCTCTTCCTAAAGTAGACATTACTTTCTTGTTCAGGTCTAGAGTTGGTTGCCTTCGCATGTAGTTAAAGTTCTGTAGCATGGTGTATAATATCCATAACACTCAACCCTGCTTACCTCTCAAGAGGCACCTTTACCTGTCACCCCACAGTCTATGTGTTAAATTTCTGTTCCCTAGATACCTTGGGCCTCTTTCTAAATACACACTTTCATGTCCATTATTTCCCCCTGTCTGGAATACTCTAGAGCCTTTCATTGACAATTCACTTGTTCTTTTTGGTGCCCCTCCTCAATGTGACCCTTTTAGAACCTTCATCACAGAAATAGTTGTTCTGTTTTTTCAGCATCTGTGATTCTTTCCCTCCCTGTCATAGAATAAAATGTGTATTTATAGTCATCACCAAGAACTCATATTGCCTCATGGGGATTGTATCTCAGCATCTAGAATACTGCGTGGCACAAAGTAGGTACTTGCTAAATGTTTCTAAATATAAATGATTGTCCAAGCTTAAGTAAGTACAGGAGAGATTCATATATATTCTTAAATGATTTGCATGTTTAAAGAGAATAATATAATGCTCAATAGATGGAAAATAACAATGAGACTGATCTATACCTGCAAAGAATGAAATGTTCTGAATGTGTATTTAAAAGAGAGAGGAACACCAAGACAGTTCACTGGAGAAAAGAATAATCTTTTCAATAAATGGTGCTGGAAAAGCTGGATATCCACATGCAAAAAGAGTGAAGTTGAACCACTACCTCACATCATATGCAAAAATTAACTCAAAATGGACTATAAACATAAATCTAGGAACTAAAACTATAAAACTTGAGATACAAAATTTTATAACCTTGGATTAGGTAATGGATTTGTATATGTAACACCGAAAGCATGAGCAACAAGAGAAAAAAATAGATAAATTTGACTTTAAACAAATGAAAAATTTTTGTGCCTCAAAGGACACCATTAAAAAGTGGAAAGAGGCCTGGGACCGTGGCTCACGCCTGTAATCCCAACACTTTGGGAGGCCGAGGCAGGTGGATCATTTGAGGTCTGAAGTTCGAGACCAGCCTGACCAACATGATGAAACCTTATCTTTACTAAAAATACAAAAAAAAAAAAAAAATTAGCCAAGTGTGGTGGCACATGCCCGTAGTCCCAGCTACTCAGGAGGCTGAGGCAGGGGAATCACTTGAACCCAGGAGGCGGAGGTTGCAGTGAACTGAGATCGTGCCACTGCACTCCAGCCTGGGTGACAGAGTGAGACTCTGTCTCAAAAAAAAAAAAAGAACAACAACAACAAAAATTAAAAGAAAATTCACAAAATGGGAGAAAATATGTACAAACAATATGTTTCAGAAAGGACTTGAATCTGGAACGTATAAAAAACTTACAAGTCAAGAATAAAAAGAAATTTAAAAATGGGCAAAGGACCTGAATAGACATTTCTCTAAAGAAGATATACAAATGGCCAGTTAGAGCATGAAAAGATGCTCAATATCATTAGCCATCAGAGAAATGTAAATCAAAACCACACTGCAATACCTTAATGTGCTAGGATTTCTATAGTCAAAAAGACAGTAACAAGTATTGGCAAGGTTGTAGGAAAAGTGGAATACACTGTATGTGTTAATGTAAAATAGTACATCTGCTTTGGAAAACAATCTGGCAGTTCTTCAGATGGTTGAATAGGGAGTTGCATATGACCCAACAATTGCACCCCTAGGTATATACCTGAGAAATGAAAACATATGACCACACAAACACTTGTACAGGAATGTTCATAGGAGCATTATTCATAATAGCCCCAAAGTGGAAACAACCCAAATGCCCATCAACTTATGAATAGGTAAATGTAATATAATATCTTCACACAATGGACTATTATTCAGCCATAGTGAGGAATAAAGAACTGATACATGCTAAACTATGGATAAACCTTGAAAACAGTATGCTAAGTGAAAGAAGCCAGATATAAAAGCCACATATTGTATCATTCCACTTATATAAAATGTCTACAATAGGCAAATTCATGGAGACTGAAATAAATCAATGGTTGCCAGGAGTTGGGGGGAAGGAGTTAATGGGGTATGCTGTTTCTTTGCGGAGACGAAAATGTTCTGGAAGTAGATAGTGGTAGTGGTTACTTAACTGTGACACTAAAACCTACTAAATTGGACACTGTGACCGGATGAATTTTATGTTATATAAACTAAATCTCAATAAAGCTAGTACAAAAGAAGGGGCAAGGGGAAGACAGTGACACGTCCCAGTTATGAATTGGGAAACAATGGGGCAGCTGGGAAAATGGCCCCACTTTGGAGTTATTGGTGGTGGTGATGGTGATGGTAACTACTATGAATGTTGTGCACTGTGCTAAATGGTTTATTTTTATGTCTAGTTTTCACTGTCCTGTCTTTACATATGAGGATGCTGACGCCCCGGTTGGAACCAGGATTGCAGCCCATGCATTTCTGATTACACTGACCTCTTTCCCATTATGATACAATCTCACAGTCCGTGGCAGAGCCTTGTCCTGATGATTTTTATTGCTTTCTGGCAGTGTGAGTGTGGGTGTGTGTTGTGCCTACTTATGCATCTCCATTTCTAAAACACCAACTGCTTGTGCATTGTATGGTCTTTATTTACCGTTTTTTTTTTTTTTTTTTTGAGATGGAGTCTTGCTCTGACGCCCAGGCTGGTGTGCAGTGGCATGATCTTGGCTCACTGCAACCTCTGCCTCCTGGGTTCAAGCAATTCTCGTGCCTCAGCCTCCCAAGGAGGTGGGATTACAGGCGCGCATCACCATGCCTGGCTAATTTTTATATTTTTAGCGGAGATGGGGTTTCATAATGTTGGTCAGGCTGGTCTCAAACTCCTGACTTCAAGTGATTCACCTGCCTCAGCCTCCCAAAGTGCTGGGATTACAGGTGTGAGCCACCACACCCTGCCAGTATGGTCTTTAATTGTAAGAAAATTGAAGAGGGAGGCAAGTAAATCAAGATTTTATGGTAATAACTCTAATCTGATTGAATAGAGAAGTTCTTGATTATAGCAGATTTGTTGTATAATTAAATAGCCGAAAGTCCTTTAAAGATAAATTAATAAAATTGGTCAAATCTGACAAAATACAAATGTCAGTAATAAGCAGATAATAAACTCCTGAAGTTTAACAGACAGCTGTGGAGGTGCAATCAACAGCACGAGCTTTGTTTTCTTAGGTTGAGAAGGGCTGAATTGGTGGACCTTACAGATAACTGTGGACTTAGGGTGCAAAAACAGTGGAATCCTGTCATTTCAGCTTGGTGGTTTCTCTGATATAGTAGGTTGGGGGATGTGGTGTGTTTTGTGCCTTATTTTTTAGTGGGATGAGAGGTAGAGGGATTCTTTTCAACTTGAGAGAAAATATAGACCTTTTTTTAAACTATGAGAAAGTGGATTTAGGTAAGTGGGAATTTAATCTTATCACAGTCATCATCTCCATTATGTAAAAGCACTTGTGAGTGTGATTAGAGTTGAAACTGAAGGAGAACATGGACGTTACCTGGAGAGGCCTTTCTTCAGATTCCATCTTGGCTACTTTCTGTGTAACTTTGATAAATTATTTCACCACATATGTGAACACCTACTTGACGTGGTAGAGGTAAGAATTAGGAGAAATGTTATGTGAGGTGTGGCACTCAGTAAGTAGTAGCTACTACAATGAAAAAGACTGTTACAACAGTTCCAATGGAAGTTTGGCAGAGCTTGCCCTCCTAAATACATATTGAAATCACATGGTGTGAAGGAAAATTTTCCTTCCATTGTATACTGGCCATGGCTCTCTGTTTTTTAACCTCACCATTAACTTTCTGAATAATTTATATGTAAAAATTTCTTAAGCAGATGCTTTGAGTTTTATTTTCCATGCTTCCGTAGTAATTTATGATACATTTGCTCAAATGTTATAGGGAAAACTTCATATTGACCCAAGGATTTAAAAAGCATATGAAGAGAAAAAGTGAAACCTCCAAGTTAATGTTCTATCATTTGGGAAACCACTCTTCTTTTTCCAGATTAACTGTTGTAATCCCAAAAGTTAGTAGTCAAAATAAATATTTTTGTTGTGAGAGCAGAAACAACAAAAATACCGCATTGGATTATTTTGGGGATTAATTAATGGGTCAGTACCTGTTGAAATTATATATATTTCATTTCCCTTAGCCAGGGAAAGACAAGAAATGTATTGAAAAATATATTTGAATTTTGGTTTGGTTGGTCATTTGCCAATGATGAGTGGAGAGCTGGCCAGAAAGCAGACACCTCTGTGGAGAAACAGTGGGGCCTGTTAGGTGGAAGCTGTGCAATACTTTCCCCCCATTTCGCTTAGCCAAGCCAGCTGAGCTATAGACATTAGCCTCAACTGCTTCCCTTTGGTAATTACAGCTGGGGATTAAACCACTGCTTTGTTTCACCTTCAACGTTGTGAAAATGATAACAGAAAGGCACATGGGGGACTGCCCTATGCCCTGAGAAACTGAGATTCAGACCCATTTGGTGGCCAATAAGGAGAATTGGATTCTCTTTCAACACTCTTGGTCCTTCAGAGGAACTGATTTCTCTATAGGAAGTTAGGGAATTGTTCCATAGTGTACATTGTGTGCATGGGGGTTGGTATTGTGTTCCATGGAAAACAGCATAGTACTTAGATATTTCGTTTCAGTTATCAATGGATTTGAAGCAATTTTATTTTTTATCTTGTGGCTTATTTTGTCCAAGGAGCAATTACAGACAGGGTTGGCAATGCTAAATTAAAGAAATGTACCAAGGACATCCCCTCCCCTCAAAGTATTGTGCAGTTTCGTCTTTCTGAGCCTTCTCCCTGTTCTGCATTTTCTCTTTGATTTCTTTCCTTTGTTTCTGTGATCCCGGCATCGTGACATAATAGAACATGGGATTAGTGGGAGGAAACGAGGGCCCAAGCGAGGCTCTACATCCAACTCTCTGTGTGATTTTAGGAATATTAAGTGATTTATTTGGGTGTGTCACTTGTTTACTTGATCATTGTCTGTCTTCCTTTTAGCATTTAAGTCCACAAAGGCAGGGACCTTGTGTGTCCTGTTCAGTCCTGTTCATCACTTGATCTCTAGTTCCTTGAAAGGTACCCAGCACATAATAGGCATTTATCAAAATTTGGCTATCTGGCTGGAGTGATTTTTATCTCATGGAGGGAAGCGGAGAGAGGAAAGTGTTTCAGGATCTCTGGGGTTCTTTTCTAATCTAAAATTAGATTATTCTCCTCTGTTCATATTATTCCTTAACAGGGTATCAAATGAGACTATACGTAAGTTTCCAAAAGCAGTCATTACCAAAGCAGTGTGGCACACTTATTGACATTTAGCATTTTATTGACTAGAATGCTAGTTTTCACCTCTATACAAAAATGATAATTGATTTTCATAGTAGGATTGACACAGTATCACATCCAGAAATGACTTCGGAATCATTAGTGTTAAATTTGCCCTTTCTATTACATTTTATTTAATTGCACAATTATTATAATCTATCTTTCTAAACTAGTAAGTCATATTTGTCATATGTAATAACTTTTTTAAGAAAAATACCTTTTTCTGACCTGTTGGGTAGCAAAACTTTACCAAGGTTAGATGAATTTTATATTTCTACACATTCTTTGAAACCCATTAGGTTCACAAAATTAGAATTATATAATATGGTTATTTTAATCTGTGATAGGTGTTACCTGAATATCTTCAGAATGGGTTCTTAATTCTTTATTGTACCAAGGAACCCACTGACAGACTGGGGAAGCCTTTTTTAAAGGAAAATATAAAATTCATAGGTACAAAGGAGACCAGTTTTTTCAAAACTGGTCAAATTTTTTTAAAAGGTGATACGGTAAGTTTTGTGCTGGTTTATTTGCACATCAATAACATCTAGCATCAGATCTAGTAACTACAATAATTTTGAAGTTGTGATTATTATAAAGATTAATATTTCTATAACACTGTAATATGACATGGAAATGTCACATTTTGTTAGTAACCAAGTCAAAGGTACTGCTAATACTACTATGATTTGCTGCCTACATTTATAAATCAGGGAAATACAAAATTTCAGTTGGATGTTAGTGAATAATAAAGATGTAATTTCTAACTGAGATCATGGTCCCCTGAATTCTGTTCATCTTATTTTGGGGGGATTAGGGTCTGTGTACCTGGTTAAGGCTCTTGCCCCTTTTGGTGAGTAATAGTATGTTTGAAACTTAGAACCATAGCTCTGTTACTGGGAAGGGTCCAGACTGATTTCTTGATACCTCATGTCTAATCTCATAATCTGAGTGGGATAGTACAGTAGTAGAAAGAGCAGGGGTCAGAGTATTCCAAACATGGGCTCTACCCTGTACAGCTACAAGTTGAGTAACCATGAAAAATATTCTAACTTCAGACTTTGCCTTCATTTCTGGAAAGGTATAGCTGTATCCTTCCCTGCAGAGATTGTCTGGGCTGTCTCACAGGTGTGAAAGTCTTGAATGGTAACATGTTCTGTTTAAATGTAAGGAATTATTTTATGTTGATGAATATGCCAGTTGCCTGTTGGGTTAAGTCTGGAAGACCCTGTTCTGTGTATTGGCATCACTGGAATAATCTATCTGTGTTTCCATGGACCTGAGTGTGCCTGAGAAGCTGGGCTGAAAAGATGTGACTGGCCTTCCCTTCTGTGATGGGTAATGGACAGGTACTGCAGATGCCCACTGCTGATAGCTTTATTCACATCTCAGAAGCAGCTCAACTGGGCACAAATAAAGCCATCAAATGTCTACTTACTGTTTGTCACCTAACAGAAAGCCTGTCCCCTAAAATAGCATTTCTGTTTAATCTGAAATAATTATTTGATCCATTTTAGTATCGATTGAAACTCTTGGGATGGAACTTTTTTCACTTGTCCAGTGTTCTTATGTGCCACACATTTGTTTGCAGGATTAGATTTGATTTTTGATTTTTGATTTTTGAATTTGGTTCTTTTTGGTATTTAGGTCAGTAATATACAATCAAGTGTGAAAGAAGTGGAGTGGTATTTCCAGTGAGAGTATCTGGGTATGAATCTTGTCACCCGTTTAGCCCACCTTAGGTTAATTTACTTAATCATAGCTGAAGATTCCTCAGCTAGAATTTAGGACTGTGATGCTGCTTATGTTAGATCTTCTGAGTTTTATGCAAGTCAAGGTCTGTGCCAAGTGTTTTATAAACTATTAAGTGATATACAAATTGTAGGAGTTGCTGTTGTCACTTCGATTCTTATATATTAAGTTAATCAATTGCTGTTTTGCTTTCAGCATCAGTCCCCAGTGCTGTGTTTTTTTGGACCCCTACTTTGAGATGAGGCCTCGTGGTTCTCTGCAGTATCTGGAGAAGCTTAGCCCTCTAACCAGGGAGGGGTTCCTCTTTGCCCATGGGATTCTCTATCTGGGGACAACTCTGGGCTATAGTAAAGTGGAGCTGTAGCTAGCTAACTGAGGGCTCATCCTGGGGTCTCCAGTTCATAAGATGTGTCTCTTGACCTTGCTGGACTTCCTTCTTAATTTGGAAAGTCTTTATTACATAATTCACTGAAGTAGTTGGATCAGAGAGGTACCACAGAGATCTGTATTTGTTTCCATTCTCCTGTCCAACCCTCAGGGGTTACTGTCATTGGACAGTAGCACCTGGAAAGAGCTAGGTGTTCTGGTAAAGTACTCACAGTTGATTTCATTTATATATGACTTAGCTGTGCTCCTTTGCCAGATTTAAGACTTAAATAAGTGTGAATAGAAGCTTGGCTTTATTTCTGAGTGTATAAAAGTGTTGGCATGTACAAAGCCAGTGGAAGGATTGCCGTTTTTGAGAGTGTCTTCTTATACTGATCACCTCTGAAATAAAGCCTGTCGGTAAGATTCATGCCCAGAAATGCTGAAGACAAGCACCAGTACCTTCAGTACCTTCAGCTGTGATTCTCCTGAACAGCAACACTTGATTTGTTAACTGGAGCTAACCCTTCTCCCCTCAGTCTGTACCTTACCTATTGCCTGCAGTTGGTGTGTGGGTTAAAAATTAAGCACCAGCTGGGCAGTGTGTGCCTTACAGGCCGGAGGATTGCTTGAGCCCAGGAGTATTGGGCTGTATCACACTATGCTGACAGGGTGGTCGCACTAAGTTCAGCATTAATGGGGTGACCTCCTGAGAGCTGGGGACCACCAGGTTGCCTAAGGAGGGGTGAATTGGCCCAGGTCAGAAATGTAGCAGGTCAAAACTCCTATGCTGATCAGTACTGGGAACATGCCCATGAATAGCCATCACACTCCAGCCTGGGCAACACAGTGAGACCCTATCTCTTAAAAAAGAAAAATAAAGCACCAATGGGATGGGAAATTTCAGATTTCTAGACATAAATGAGAGTGCTCATAAAAACTCTGGGGACTTTTTGTTCATGAATTAACTGATTAGCGAAAACCTTCATTTTGATCACCTATAAAACAGACAAAATTAGGTGTTTAGACTTAATCACTGGCAAGAACTGTTTGAGACAGACAATTGTAGTTTTCAAGGAACTTCTTCTTTTTCCTGATTCAGAAGAGGATATCTGTTATCAAGCTGTAAGTACTCTGCAGGATAATCTTTTTTTGTTATTATTTAAAGGGCTTTTAGAAACATCACCAGTCACTTATTTTTCCTTTTGAAGACAACAATAATCATGTTCTGTGGCAAAAGGAGCTGGTCCGAAACCTAGAATGATAATGAAAGTTTGCAAATATCAAATATTATTTCATCACTATTAGCCATTTACAGATGTGAAGAGAAATGAGCTTGAAAAGTAGTTTGATGTTTTCAACCACACTTTTAATCTTTAGATTTGAAAACAGAAAAGGAAGTCTGGAGATTAGGGTAATATATTCAATTCTTCCACCATTTTTTAATTTTTGATTTTTATTTTTGAGACAGGATCTTGCTCTGTCACCCAGGTGGAGTGCAGTGGCATGACCTCCCTTGCTCAAGTGATCCTCCCACATCATCCTCCCAGGTAGCTGGGATGACAGGACCGTGCCAGCACACCCAGCAAATTTTTGTATTTTTTATAGAGATAAGGTTTTGCCACGTTGCCCAGTCTGGTCTTGAACTACTGGGTTCAAGCAGTCGCCCGCCTTGGCCTCCTGAAGTACAGAGATTACAGTCATGAACCACCACAGTCAGCCCTCTACTGACATTTTTAAGTCAAGTAGCTTAATCTATAAAATAAAATGTTTGACCACTTAGTACTATAAAACTCTTTTGTTGCCCTAGAACATTCCTTTATCCTAATTTTTCTTTCTTCTTATGGTACTTGGGTGATGGTGGTGAGAGTTGGCAGCACAAGGGGGATTGGCTAGGGTGGGTACAGACCTTACGTTTCAAATCTCTACCCTACCTGAAGAACAAGCTTGCCTTTCCTTTTTTATATTATCTACCATATTAGAAAATGCAGAGGGAAGAGTTAGTGCAAATTGGGAAAGTGAGTACCGATGCATTTGTACTCCTGATTGGTGAGCAAAATAAAACTGCTCAGCCTCCTATAGGATTAAAGTAGAACTTACACTGGAGATGTTTGATCTTTCTGTATAAATGTTTGTGATAAAATCATGCTTATTTAAAATAAGAAGATCAGGAATGATAGATATAAAATTAACTGGATTCAGATTTTCTGAGATTTTAGAATAGGATGTCAGCTATTTACCAGAGTTATGGAGAAAAGTTTTAATAATGACGTGCTAATATTCTTGGCAGATACCAAATCTAAGCAGATATAATTAATTTATTTTTTTTTTTTTATTTTGGCTTGCTTTCTTATTCATTTACTCATTTAACCAACATTTACTGAAAGTCTTCTGTGTGCCCAGTTGCTTCTGAGGGACTTGCAGCTGGGTGGGAGAGACAGATGTGTAGTCCAAGCTACAGGATAGAGGTGCTGAGTGGAGAGGGGAGAGGTGAGCACCAGCCTGCTTGGGAGAATCCTGGATTCTGCCTACCCATCCCCTGAGTCCATGCAGCTTGTTTATATTGACCAGCCTTGTTCTTCTCTTTGTTCATTGTTCGCATGCTCACTTTTATCTGAGACATCTTCTCTTCCTGGAATGACCTGGGATCCCACTTTAGGCATGTTGGCAGCAATAAGAAATTCAGCCTGAGCCTGACTTTCACAGACTCATTTGGTCCCAGTTTTCTGTGTCCAGGCAACTCACCCAGTGTTTTCTGCCACCCTGGCAAACTGGCTGCCAGCACATCACACTACGTATGTTTGTGGGTTCATATGTGTCCACGTGCAGAATCTGCCCATTTCCTGGATCATCCTGGGCCATCTGGGGAAGCCTTTTTAATTTTTTCTTTTGCCTCCTGCCTTTCAAGCTTCTCTTTTGATTCTTGTGGCTTGTAGTCCAACAAGAGTAGAAGGAAAGAGCTTCAGGAAGTGAGGAGTTTATTAAAATTCCTTTGAAGCATTTCAATTCAGTAAGAGGAACTATCTTTTCTGTTAGCTAAGACAAAAAAAAAAAAAAAGAAAAAAAGCAAATAACAACAACCCTCAAAAAAATATAAATGTTTTTAGGAGATCCATTTTAGTTCTTTTTTTTTTTTTTTTTTTTTTTTTTTTTTGGGATGGAGTCTTACTCTGTCACCCAGGCTGGAATGCAGTGACGCGATCTTGGCTCACTGCAAGCTCCGCCTCCTGGGTTCACACCATCCTCCTGCCTCAGCCTCCCGAGCAGCTGGGACTACAGGCTCCCGCCACCATGCCTGGCTAATATTTTTTTGTATTTTTAGTAGAGATGGGGTTTCACCGTGTTAGCCAGGATGGTCTTGATCTCCTGACCTTGTGTCCTGCCCACCTCGGCCTCCCAGAGTGCTGGGATTACAGGCGTGAGCCACCGCGCTCAGCCCCATTTTAGTTCTTATACACAAAATTGATCCTCCTTTACCCAGTTCCGTGTCCTTGAGTGTATTACCTTCACTTCCCTAAGCATCATTCTTATTTCTAAAATGGGGATAACTGTAACTGTATGTGCCTCACAGGATTGTTGGCAGGATTTAGTGGAGTGGTAACATTAATAGTAGTAATTGATGAGTAAGATTTTGTTACATTATGTATCAGGTACTGTTCTAAGAACTTGAACTCTACCTAACTCCTTTCTGGTAGAGGGTATTAAAAGCATAGCAGTATTCAATAAGTATTAGTTGTATCCTGAATCCTTTTCACATCTCTTAATAACTCAGGTATCCTAATTCTCAACAGTTGATTGTTTACCTATTTACTTCTCAATATACAGCTTCTGTATAATTTTCTACATAATGAAAACTTTGATGTACACACCAGTATGAAAAATCTTGGTTCTGCAGCATACCAGTTGCACAATTTAATCATGCTGTGCCTTGGTTTTCTTCATCTAAAGCAGGGATGCCAATACCTAATTCTCAAGTGTTAAGGAAGTTGAATGAGATGGCCCATGTCAAGCAGCTGACAGACCACAGGCACTGACTGATGTCCTTTTCCATCTCCCATCCTGTGCTGCTCCTGGGAACCCTCCATCTTGCTGTTATCCCCAGGCTGTTTCATTTTGTTTTGATGATTCTCTTGGTCATATTTATAAGAACACTAGTATAAGACAAAGATTCTCTCCGTTGCACATTTTGTGCCTTATTCTCTAGCCACTTATGCTTGTTTCTAGGCCACAGGATAGCAAGAATACTAGGCACGTAGAAGATTTTTTGTAAACGTGTACTAAGCTGGATAAAACAGACATGATAAAGAATCAGCCTGGCTTCTATTAGCCATCAGGCCAGATTTCTTCATTAGCCTGAGCAAGATGGCTCAGTGTTTGTTCACAGAGGCTAAACGTATCACTTTTTAAAAGAGAGTTTTTGTTTGTTTGTTTTAAATCAGGCAAGGCTTGTAGAACTTAAGGTAGAAGAAAGTGCTGGATTGAGCCTTTGTAATCTAAGGGGGTGTATTAGTTTAGTAGGGCTACCATAACAGAATACCACAGACTGGATAGTTTACACAAGAGAAATTTATTTTCTTACAATTCTAGAGGTTGGAAGTCCAAGATCAAGGTGTCAGCAGGATTAGTTGGTTTCTTCTAAGGCTTCTCACCTTGGCTTGTAAATGGCCATTGTATTTTCCATTTTCAAGCTGCTAATAAAGACATTCACAAGATTGGGCAATTTACATAGGAAAAAGGTTTAATCAGACTTACAGTTCCACATGGCTTGGGATGCCTCACAATCATGGTAGAAGGCAAGGAAAAGCAAGTCACATCTTACATGGATGGCAGCAAAAAAAAAAAAGAGCTTGTGCAAGGAGATTCCTGTTTTTCAAAACCATCGGATCTCATGAGACTTATTCACTATCATGAGAACAGCATGGGAAAGACCTGCCCCCATGATTCAGTTACCTCCCACTCAGTCCCTCCCACAACATGTAGAAATGCAAGATGAGATTTGGTTGGGGACACAGCCAAACCATATCATTATGTACCTGGCCCCTCCCAAATCTCATGTCCTCACATTTCAAAACAAATCATGCCTTTCCTACAGTCCCTCAAAATCTTAACTCATTTCAGCATTAACTCAAAAGTCCACAATCCAAAGTCTCATCTGAGACAAAGCAAGTCCCTTCTACCTATCTGCCTATAAGCCTATAAAATCAAAAGCAAGTTAGTTACTTTCTAGATACAATGAGGGTACAGGCATTGGGTAAATACAGCCATTCGAAATGGGAGAAATTGGCCCAAACAAAGGGGCTACAGGCCCCATACAAATCCAAAATCCAGTGGGACAGTCAAATCTTAAAGCTCCAAAATGATATCCTTTGACTCCATGTCTCACATCTAGGTCACACTGAGGCAAGAGGTGGGTTCCCATAGTCTTGGGCAGCTCTGCCCCTGTGGCTTTGCAGGGTACAGCCTCACTCCTGACTGCTTTCACAGGCTGGTATTGAGTGCAGATTTTCCAGGCATGTGATGCAAGCTGTTGGTGGATCTACCATTCTGGGATCTGGAGGATGGTAGCCCTCTAGGCAGTGCCCCAGTAGGGACTTTGTATGGTGGCTCTGACCCCACATTTCCCTTCTGCCCTACCCTAGCAGAGGTTCTCGATGACAGCCCCACTCTGCAGCAAACTTCTGCCTGGACATCCAGGCATTTCCATACAGCCTCTGAAGTCTAGGCGGAGGTTCCCAAACCTCAATTCTTGACTTCTGTGCACCCGCAGGCTCAACGCCACATGGAAGCTACCATAGCTTGGGACTTGCACCCTTTGAAGCCACAGCCTGAGCTGTACCTTGGCCCCTTTCAGTCATGACTGGAGTGGCTGGGATGCAGGGCACCAAGTCCTTAGATTGCACACAGCATGGGGACTCTGGGCCTGGCCCACACAACCATTTTATCCTCCTAGGCCTCAGGGCCTGTGATGAGAGGGGCTGCCATGAAGACCTCTGACATACCCTGGAGACATTTTCCCCATTGTCTTGCGGATTAACATTCAGCTCTTTGTTACTTAAGCAAATTTCTGCAGTGGGCTTGAATTTCTCCTCAGAAAATGGGATTTTCTTTTCTATTATATTGTCAGGCTGCAAATTTTCCAAAGTTTTATGCTCCGCTTCCCTTATAAAACTTAATGCCTTTAACAGCACCCAGGTCACCTCTTGAAGGCTCTGCTGCTTAGAGATTTCTTCTGCCGGATACCCTAAATCATCTCTTTCAAGTTCAAAGTCCCACAAATCTCTAGGGCAGAGACAGAATGCTGCCACTCCCTTTGCTAAAACATAAGAAGAACCACCTTTGCTCCACAAGTTCCTCATCTCTATCTGAGACCATCTCAGCCTGGGCCTTATTGTTCATATCATTATCAGCATTTTAGTCAAAGCCATTCAAGTCTCTAGGGAGTTCCAGACTTTCCCACATTTTCCTGCCTTCTTCTGAGCCCTCCAAATTGCTCCAACCTTTGCCTGTTACCCAGTTTCAAAGTTGCTTCCACATTTTCGGGTAACTTTTCAGCAATGTGCCACTCTTCTTGGACCAATTTACTGTATTAGTCTGTTTTCATGCTGCTGATAAAGACATACCTGAGACTGGGCAATTTACAAAGGAAAGAGGTTTAATTGGACTTACAGTTTCATGTGGGTGAGGAAGCCTCACAATCATGGTGGAAGGCAAGGAGGACCAAGTCACATCTTACATGGATGGCAGCAGGCAAAAAAAGAGGTTGTGCAGGGAGACTCCTGTTTTTAAAACCATCAGATCTCGTGACACTTAAATCACCATCATGAGAACAGCACGGGAAAGACTTGCCTTCATGATTCAATTACCTCCCACCCACTCCCTCCCACAACATGTGGGAAGTCAAGATGAGATTTGGGTGGGGATACAGCCAAACCATATCAGCCATCTTCCTTTGGTGTCTTCACGTGATGTTCCCTTTGTGCATGTGTCTTGTAAATCTCCTCTTATATAGATACTGTTGGATTAGAGTCTACCTATATGACCTCATTTCACCTTAATTGTCTACTTAAAATGCCCTGTTTCTAAATACAGTCACATTCTGAAGGTAGTGAGCATCAGAACGTCAACATTTGAATTTGGGGACACATAAGTCAGCCCATGATAGGTGACAGTCTGAGAACCCGGCATAATGATCTTTTCCAAGGCTCTATGCTTCTCTGGAGAGGATATGTGAGTGACAGTTCTGTTGGGTCATAGAGCTGGAAAAAATTTAGATGAAGAATATTTATTCTGATTTCTGAAATCACCACACTTCTGCTTTCTTAACAGCACTTACTAGGACTTAGTCTAATTTTTCTCTTTATATTCTTAGGCTGTGTGGATGAGTCTTACTGTTGAGCACTTATTTTTTCTCCCCTTTGAATATCCAGTCCTTAGCACATAGTATGTGTCAGGAAATAATAGTTGAATTGAATACAGGTGATTCATCTGCCTCTGGACATTCTCACAATTTCCTACACCACAAAAGGAAATGAATTTGTCTTTTCCTTAGTCGTCTACCAAGAATGAAGGCATATTTTTTTTGCCTCAGGTGTTTTGGACTGAATTCTGTCTGATGTCTAAATTCGACTACAGTAATATATTTATTTATGAGCCATCTTTATTAAAGAATGTTACTGCCACCGTTTCCTTAGTTGCCAATTATTTTGTGCATTGTTATTGCTCCTCAGATTTTCTTATTTTGGGGGAGACTTAGGCATAATTTCCTTAGATGTAGATCAAAGCTGAATTGGATAACTAAAATATGTTGCAATTTATGTTATAGAAAAATGGTAAAAATATTCACATATTTTTTATATTTCTACTATTTCAGAATTAATATTTCACCTTTTTTTTTTTTTTTTTTTTTTTTTGAGTCGGCGTCTCCGTCTGTCACCCAGGCTGGAGTGCAGTGGTGCGATCTTGGCTCACTGCAGCCTCCACCTCCTGGGTTCAAGCAATTCCCCTGCTTCAGCCTCCTGAGTAGCTGGGACTACAGGTCCACGCTGCCACACCCTGCTAATTTTTTGTATTTTTAGCAGAGATGGGGTTTCACCATGTTGGCCAGACTGGTCTTGAACTTCTGACCTCAGACAGTCCACCTGCCTCGGCCTCCCAAAGTACTGGGATTACAGGCGTGAGCCACTGCGCCTGGCCAATATTTCACTTTTTTAAAATAAATCTTTTTAATGATAAGACAGGCTTGGGTTTGTCAAGAACAGGTTTCTAAAAGGGTTTCATTATGCATGCACATGTAAATAAAAACCTTTTACAAATCCCACAGAATAAGATACTTTAAAATGGAGCTGTCAAGCAATTTTTATATGTACAGGCAATTTGTGGTTTCAAAAAGCTACTTCAAAAAAAACTTCAAAAAGTTAGTGCTTTTTGATAATTTTTTTTTAAAACCACTTTGTTAACAGGTCCAAAGTTATATGATAAAATGATCAAATAAATTTTTTCGTTATAAATAGTCTTGTTTAAAAGTCCAAAGCGTGCCTCTTAATATTTAGTGAGAGCCCTGTTCTTGTTCTACTTCATCAGTTGTCTATGTTGCTGGTTGACTTTTGGAAGTTTTACACTGAATGAAAGAATAAAGATTGTAAACCTCTAGAAAACAAGTACTTTACTTCTGTGGTCCTTCCAGGATTGAATGAAGGTTCCATGAAAGAGAAACATCTGGAATATGCCTTTTTTTTTTCTTAATAGCTAGTAGAGGGTGAGGAGGGAAATAAGACACTGTAGGATAATGCATGTTTGTGTCAGATCGTAGGAAAAAAATCATGATGTATTTATACTACATGTGCTATTTATATACATGTGCTACCAAACAGCATGCAGCTCTATGTTTTAGACAAAATAGAAGAAGCTTTGATGATAATTATCAATACATGCATGAGAATTTCCAATGTCATGGTTTAAGCACCCACTTCACATACACTTGTAAATTAGCTTCCATGCATTCATAAATGGGGTTAGTGTGATTAGCTTGCCAAGGCCCAGAAGAGATTATATTTATTAAAGATCACATGAAAAGCTGTGTCCTAGGCATCTCACTAGGAATCTTAATTTTAAATAGGTAATATTATCTTATTTATGAACTATTAACACAGTAGAAACATTTATTTTGATAGATTTATTAATGAATGTAAAGATTTCTGTTTTTTTAACATAAGGATTAATGGCCGTTCATTCAATCTAAACCTATTTTGTACACTGAAATATAACATAAACATTGATAGACTTGCCAATCTGTCTTAAGCACTACTTTTAAAATATGAAGCTAAGTATAGTTTTTTGTTGTTATTAAGATGTTTTAGACATGATTAAGTCATTTTATTTTGTCCTATAATTAACCTCCTGAGGTATAATGAGAAATCCATTTCAATATAGAAGGTCAGTTTTGTGCGGTTTTTAGATTTTTTTTTTTTTGTAAAACAAAACTTCCTGTCAGAGTGTGTGCCCGATCGTGCATTTGATTAGATCAGCTGGCATGGCTTCTTGGCAGCCTGGCCCTCACTGCCAGGTTTACTCCGTGTCCACTTCCTTGCAGGGCCCTGACCTAGAGGCCATCTCTCAGCTGTCCCAGCCCTGCCAATTGTTTGAGGTCCCTGAAGCCTTTCCTGATTCTCCCATCTCACGTTATCATTCTCTGTACCCTACAACTTTACCTTTTCATCATGGTATCTGTTGTGTTAGTTATTTCTTTCATTGTGTTTCACCAAAGTTGTTTGCTCATAGGAGCTGGTAGTGTGACGCTGGCCACAGAGGCAATAAATATTGGCATTGTGCTGCCTTCGTTGCTCTACTTGGATGAATTAGAAAACATTCAGAGGAGCTGGGCACGGTCGTGCATGCCTGTAGTCCCAGCTACTTTGGAGGCTGAGGCAGGAAGATGACTTGAGGCCAGTTCAAGGCTGTAGTGTATGATGATCACACCTGCGTGTAGCCACTGCACTTCAGCCTGGGCAACAGAGTGAAATCCCATTTCTAAAAATAAATAATGAACAAAGAATTGGAAAAAGAATGGATAGAGTGTTGATTGGCTTGCTTTTCTCATAGCAGGTTGCTTTTCCAAGCATCTTCTTTCACAACACTCATCATGAGGACATCTTGGGAGCAAAAGTGTCCATACTGATTTGGGGTTACTTAAGTTTTTCTTTGGTCAGAATCCCTCATTTCATCCATATCCTCAGTCCTAGATTAAGTAATCTTAGGGCACACTTACGGCTTCTGACGTTAATGCCACCTTTGTTTCCTAAAGCCCTGATGATGATGGAACTGTGCATGTTAAAGCAGGAAAGGGGAAGAATGTTGTCAGCATATCTAGAAGCCTAGCCCTGGAAAAGTACTTAGGTGGCACAGAAAGCCTCTTTCTGGAAAACCACTGAACTGATAGTTAAATTCAAAAGTCACTCCTAGAATCAGTTTCAGCACACATTAAATTCACTCGTCTTGGATGAAGCCAGTGAAAATTTTAAGACAAAAACAAGATTTATTATCAAATACTGGTCTCTCCAAAAAGTTACATGGGATCAGAATCAGATGTCAATGAATAATTTGTTTTTGTACGTTTTTATAGTTACATGTTATTACTTCTAGAACTCATTTGACTGGTTGAACTAGAGAACCAGAATACAACATGCATTTGTTTTTTTCTATGGTGGAAGAGAAAAGTAAAATTAAAGTGGAAGTTATTAATACTATATATATTCATAGGCTGCTAATATGTACTGCGTTCTTTCCTTTTGTGTTTTTCTTTAGGTGATTGAAGATAGTACTGGAGTCCGCCGGGTGGTGGTCACACCCCAGTCTCCTGAGTGTTATCCCCCAAGCTACCCCTCAGCCATGTCTCCAACCCATCATCTCCCTCCCTATCTGACTCACCATCCACATTTTATTCATAACTCACACACGGCTTACTACCCACCTGTTACCGGACCTGGAGATATGCCGCCTCAGTTTTTTCCCCAGCATCATCTTCCCCACACAATATATGGTGAGCAAGGTGAGTAGATTTTCGTTGGCGTCAGGAGCCGTTGAAACTGATTACAGCGTTTCAATAGTTCAAGGCGGTCCTTTGTTTCTTGTGAAATAAGCATAGTAGAAAAGGATCTAGGTGGTTTGTAAGACTCATGGGGAATTCCTAGCTTCCTTTGTCCTGAATGGTGCCTTGGAAAAATTACTTTGTGGGTTTAGTTCTTTTTCTTTCTTTCAGTTTTCACAAACTCGGCCCCAACCCCCACCTTACAAGATCAAGGAGTAAGGTAGCCACCTTTTATTTTAGAAAAGTGGCAGTGTGACATCGTTCCCATGTCCTGAAAGCATGTTTGTATGTGAGAGTGGCCTGAGGTACAACTGTGGCACATCGTTTCTTTGGTATCCATATGATCTACCAGTTAAAGGGAAATTGAAAAGTGTTTTGTGCCCCATTTCCAGTGTTTGAAGATTGTGAAGTCTCAAGAACCTTTAGGTTTCCTAAAAGGCTCTATGTTGTGATGCTGGCAGAACTCAAAAATCCCCTGGCTGTTGATGTGGCCTTCCTGAACCTGCTTTTAGTTTAAGAGTAGCCATTAGTGCAGCCGCAATTTCACTGATTGTTAGGCAAATACTTACCTGGATATGAAAAGAGCCTCAGAGCTACCAACATTATATCTTTTTAAAGTTTTGACCCTGGTGTTGGTTTAGTCTAAAGGCTTTCTCTATCAAAATGGATACTAAGAAACCAGATAATTGAGGGTAAAATTAGACTTTAGCCTCTAGGACTTTGCAAAGTGATTTTCTTCTGAGTCTGACTATGAATGGAAGCATTTTACTGCTTCAGACATTTATTATGTTGGTTTAGATACATTGTAGAAGAAATGCCTGTTATACCATAGAATGTTTGAGCAAGTTATCACTTTTAAGAATTATATATATATAATTATATAATTTCTATATAATTAATTATTTATTTATAATTATATTTTTATATATATAATTATTCCCTGTTCATCTCACATTATAACTTATTCACAGAAAAAACTTTTTTGAGATGATATTTTAAGTGAAATATATCGTTGTAACTTAGGGATAGAATTTGACTGTATGTGTGTTTTGTTTATTTTTTTTTGTAGTCAAAGAAATTTGACATGATTCAAATTAATCAGGTGCTTTCACAATGTCGTATAAGGGGATGATAGCAAAACATGAAATCAATACTTTGATTTCATAGCAGCATCAATAACTTCCTATCAATTTGATCTTTTTTCCATGCGACACACCAAGAAAACATCAAGTATTGGGGATATACTATGAAAACATTTGGATAAAAACTGAAAAAATTTAGTTAGCTGTAATTTTTTTAATGTATTCAGTGCTTTGACTCAACATGCATTAAATAATTGAGTGTTTCTTAGAGCTTTCTGGCTGTATCTGAGCTCTGATGACATGAAAGGCCTTGGTGACTGACTCATTGCTTGCTGGTATATGTCTGACTTGCCTTATTTTAGCAGTCTGTTAGTAGGATGCCACATGGTTACTGTTTTGTAAATGCTGTCCTTTGCAATTTTAGGCAAGACAACAGTATGATTTAAATCGTCATTAGAGTTAAGCAAAATTGTAGTCTCTTCATTTTATGGTGTATTTGGGTCTAATTCCATTAAAATAACACAGAGCAATAATGTATGCAAATAAAAATGCCTTCATTGATTTCAAATTAAAGCAGTAAAACAAAATCCCTTCCCTTTATAAATAAGCCATTGATATATTCTTTTACCTTAGTTCTTAGTGTGCATACCTAAAAGCAATTTAAATATTAATTTTCTAAACTATAAGAGTTTTAAAAGTTTTCAACATGTCTGAAAAGATTATTACTGCCCATAGTGAATATGTTAAATCTCATGTGTAATACATCGTGGTGTTTAGAACATTTACTATCCTTCTGGTATATTTTGACATAGTTTCTTTGGATACACACTCTCTGAATAGGATTATATTTGTTTTGACACGTTCTCTAGTGCAAACTGGTTCTCTCATGAAGATTTGTTTTTTAACAAAACAACTCTTGTTTATGCTTTAGCTATGTTAACAGTAAGAAACAGTGGAGCTTTACTGTTGAGTAATTGAGACAGCAGTTTTGTTAAATTATGCAGGGTAACCATACATTTCTGTTGTGCCTGTGACAGTCCTAGTGTAGGTCTCTTGCCTTGAAGAAATTATTGATATTCCTTCCTTTTCGCTCTCAGAAGTGTTCAGATTTGGATGGTAATTTATATTGTCACTCCATAGAAGAGGTGACCCTTTTTTCTTATAAAGATGTAAGGACCCAATCTTTATGTTACGCATTGTCATTTTTACTGATACCTAAAAATAATTTTGAACTGATTTAAAAATTTAAATTTAACATAAAGTTTTCCCCTTGAGATCATAAGATTGCTTGCAGGCTTCTATTTTCTTTTGAGCCACTTTAAAATGTGCATAGTAAAGTCAGGTGACATTCTACATTTGTCTTGCCTTCTATTACTCCAAAAGAGAAGTTTGAGACCACAGCTTATTATGTTTGGCACCAGATTTCAGAGATGGCTTTTCTTTATCCTTATACTTCCTCCTTGAACATTTCCCCTGATTCTGTGAGCTTTGATTATTTTAAATGGAAATATGTCATCTCATTATCTTAGTTAAATTTGTTCAAATGTTGGCTCTTTTGTATGCCACAGAAAACTTTGACTGCAATATACTTCCCAGTAGAAATACTATTCTGTCTACAGGGATGAGTAGACTTTTAAAGTAGCTTGATTCTAAGTACATGTTTAATAGGGGTATTTTATTTGTTCTGACTTTTTCATGTATTGCAACTACTGAAAACATATTGAAAGGTAAAAATCAAACTCAGTTATAAATGCAACTAGAATATGAGCTCTTTAGGGATAACAACCTTGTCTTCAGTATTCTCTGTAATATAGGAATTTTTCTGAACACACAGTGTAGTTTTTAATGATTGATTATTCCTTGATTGGTTAGAAACAAATGGGAATGCTTTAAATGTATATCATGTATATGGCATTTTCTTTTTTCTTTTTCTTTTTGAGACAGAGTCTTGCTCTGTCGCTCAGGCTGGAGTGCAGTGATGCAATCTCAGTTCACTGCAACCTCCGCCTCCAGGGTTCAAGCGATTCTCCTGCCTCAGCCTCCTGGATAGCTGGGATTATAGGCGCCTACCACCACGCCTGGCTAATTTTTTGTATTTTTAGTAGGGATGGGGTTTCACCATGTTGCCCAGGCTAGTTTCGAACTCCCAAGCTCAGACAGTCCGCCCACCTCGGCCTCCCAAAGCGTGAGCCACTGTGCCCAGCAGTATTTTCTTAAAAAATATTTATTAGACTCTATTTAGTAATACTTTAGACTTCCTTTATACTTTAGACTTCTTCAGGAGCCAGATCATTTGACCATTTAATAATTTATTATTGAAAATGTAAACTGAGTTTGGGTTTATCATAATCATCCATTTTAGAAATTATACCATTTTATGGAATGTCAACCTACATCACCCGAGAAGACCAGTACAGCAAGCCTCCGCACAAAAAACTGAAAGACCGCCAGATCGATCGCCAGAACCGCCTCAACAGCCCTCCTTCTTCTATCTACAAAAGCAGCTGCACAACAGTATACAATGGCTATGGGAAGGGCCATAGTGGTGGAAGTGGCGGAGGCGGCAGCGGTAGTGGTCCCGGAATTAAGAAAACAGAGCGACGAGCAAGAAGCAGCCCAAAGTCGAATGATTCAGACTTGCAAGGTAATACTCAAGATGTTTGCCATAGAGTGAATTATCAAGACAGAGACATCTCAAATGATGTTTCCACATCTTTTACATGAGAATATTATTTCATGGTGGTTGGTTGTTCTGCTAAGAATATTTGAGTAGACCTTCTTTGATCTATTTCTTGGTAAGGAAATAATATTGCATTGTTTATTTTTTATTAATACTTCATGGCAGAAATACTACATTTTGGTCACAGATGCCATGCAACTTTGCACTTAATAACAAATATTTGAAAATCTTTTCATGTTAGCCTACTTCTGTTGTTTCACTCTCTGAATAGACAGATGTGGAAGAAATCCAAAGATAATTTTTCTAAAAGTGTAGGCTAGTTTAAATCTCAAAATAATTATACCTCATAAACCATACGTAATTACTTCCTTTCTGTAATGAAATCTATCATTGAATCACAGAAATATGTTTCTGTTTAGTTTTGGCATCAGTTATTGTCTCATACCACCTTTTGCCTGTGAATTAAGTGTTCAGAAACTAAGAATAAGATGGAAGAATGAGGGCCACCACATATAGGTAGAGAAACATCAACTCAGAATGGCATCTGTCTTTTTGTAGATGAATCTCTTGGGTAGATCAGTTCATTTGGAGGAAGGTTTATGTGTTTAAATGAAGTTTTGGAGGTAGTTTAGAGAGAACCTATTTTGATGCCACATAAGGAAAAACAGTGGCTATTTCTATAGGCATAGGGAAGAATGACTTAAGTGAGGCAAAAAAGGTAGCATTTGGATAAGGTAGGTGAGTTTATAGATATAAATGACTGGAAAACAAAGACTTGAACAACTTTTAAACATAAGATCAATTATTTCAAGTAGATTCCCTTTTTCATTCACAATCACATTCTCACAGACACAGTCCCAGTTTCTACCTGACTGAGATGCAGTAAGGAATCTGATTATAACACTCATTGATTATAACACTCATTGAATTTATGGATTCCTTACTGCATCTCATTCAGGTAGAAAAAGGGACTGTGTCTGTGAGAATGTGATTGTGAATGAAAAAGATGGAATATGTGTATTTTTGAGTGTCTATGGAAGAGCTTCTGACAAGAGAGAGGAAGATTAGGTAAAATGAAATATCGCCGTCGGCATTTCCCCCTACGTTATTTGGGTGAGTGAATTTCAGCCTGAGAGAGGAATAGTAAGATACAGTGAAATGTGAATAGATCATGTGTTCTTTTAATTTGAATTATGTATTCTTTTCTCTATTTTCCAAACTCTGCAATTATCACGTTATTCTTATAACTCTTAAACAAAACATAAATCAATATCATACAAAAGAAAGCAAAGATTCAAGAGACTTTTACACAACTCTTAAGGGAAGATGCTGGGTCTCATATAAAATAATTTTTAGTCAAATGATACTGTAATTTCTAAGTTTGAAATTAGTTTATTAGCAATGTTACAATTTAACCATGACTATACAAGAACTCATACTAAAAAAAATTATGAATAGATTTTCCTGAAGAGAATTTTTATCCGAAGAAAAACGAGAGAGAATGTATAAATTGTCCAGAGAGCTTACGAGGTTTGAAGTACTTTGATTACTTGACTCATTCTTTAATAATTTTCACCTTGCCTTGCACCAAAACTGATTTAAGGGAAATGACTTAGACACAAAGAAGCAGATAAAATAAATGTAAGCATTAAGGAGCCGAAAGATGATAAGGGAAGGAAAATATTAATAAGATGAAGCAGGGTTCCAGTAGCATTGCTTGATGTGAGCCATATATTTTGTTTTCAGCCTCCTGGTTGTCACAGCAAAAAGGCAAACGTGAATCACATAGTGTAGACGAAGAATAAAACACTTCTTGTTCATGGGGTCCATCAAGTGGCTCACAATGTTTCAGTTGTGTCTGCCTCAAAATGTGGTTGTTGGCTCCTAGGATCCCAAAAGGCTTTTTCCTTCTTTCTCATCCTTACAGTGTATCTCCTGCTGGAGTTTACTGCGGCTGACATCTAAATCTGTGCCCCGGAAACAGACTTCTTAACTGATTCTTAAGTTTCCAGTGCCACCTGATTAATCTAAAACTATACTTAATACTAGTATGATAAACCTAATAGGTTCATATGTGGTTTGCACAAGAGTAGAATATATACCTAACCATAACATGTGACTTGTGTGTGTTTTTTGTTTTTGTTTTTTTTATGTAATGTTTTACTTAGGTTAAGTTGTTCTCATGGCCAGAAGAGAGAAATCTTTTTACTTTTTTTTTTTGAGATGGAGTCTTGCCCTGTCACGCAGGCTGGAGTGCAGTGGTGTGATCTCAGCTCACTGCAACCTCCGCCTCCCAGGTTCAAACCATTCTCCTGCCTCACTCTCCTGAGTAGCTGGAATTACAGGCATGTGCCACCACACCCTGCTAATTTTTGTATTTTTGGTAGAGATGGGGTTTTGCCATGTTGGCCAGGGTGGTCTCAAACTCATGACCTCAGGTGATCTGCCCACCTCGGCCTCCTTCTTTTTACTTTATAATTCCTTTGCCTTTGAGTTAATTTGCTTGAATAATTTAACTTTTTATCACTTACAAAAAACAAATCTTTAAAAAAAGACTAAGTTTGTGCCTGGTCCTGTGGTAAAACTAAGCACATGTAAAAGAAGCAAACAACTCATGTTAATATAAATACATGTATTAAAAAGATGCGGATACCTTAATTTCTCTCTTGAGGTCTAGTTCACTCAGTTAACTATGCTTCAGAAACTTTAAAGCAATAGAGATTCATGGACTCCATTTTAGACCTACTAAATCAGAATCTTCATACCACTTTTGACTTCATGTTTTTTTTTTTAATCAAACCTCCATTGGGGATAATGTATAATCAGCCAAGATAGAAAATTATTATACTATCATAGTAATAAGGATGGTTAACCAAGTTGTACACAGTATGGAATAGGGACTGTATCTGTTTTATTCATCATTCTCTCCCTCCTTCTAGTACCTGACACATAGTAGGTACTCAGTATATATTGTTAAATGAGTCCTGTTTTCTTAATTGCCTTGTTTTCCAGAGTAAGCCTTCTTTTTGAACACACAAAGCTATTGTACCATTTCCTTTTCCTGGAACAAAGTGTTGCATTGCTCAAGGAAACTGCTCTGTGGCTAGCCTCCCCTTTCATTTACTGTTACCTTCAGGAAAACAGGCATGACAGAGGCCCATAGTACACTCTGAGAAATATGGGATCTCTGTCTTCTTGCACTCCCTTGGAGCTAATGGTGTGATGTGAGCCGAGAACAGTTGGGGCTTTAGTATTAGACATATAGTACTTGGCTTAGAATTGGGCTTTGTTACTTACTATTTCCTTTTAGTTTTCCCTGAATTTCCATGTTCACTTTGTAAAATGGGCATTTTAATTTCCATTATTAAATATTAAAAATACCCTTGCTTTAGTTCTTAACACTTTAATATAATGGTAACCCTTATGACTTGAATATTCTTGTCTCTCTCATCTTTAGGACTCCTGTTATTATAGGATCACCTCTCATCTGAGATAGCTGCCTCTCAAAGTAGGCATCTCTCTACTCTCCATCTGGCAGCCTTTTCCCTTCCCTTCATGCTCCATTCCCCTCACCCCAGCTCCCTACATTTCTTCTTTAAGCCAGAAGTGGCTTCCTTTGCTTAAACCCGTCTTATATTTTGAAAGCTAAACCCTGCATTCCTGGACCACTGTCTCTGAAAGTTGCTTCCAGGCTCTTTTTTTTCTTTTGAGACGGAATTTCACTCTTGTTGCCCAGGCCGGAGTGCAATGGCGTGACCTCAGCTCACTGCAACCTCTGCCTCCCAGGTTCAAGCGATTCTTCTGCCTCAGCCTCCCGAGTAGCTAGGATTACAGGCGCACACCACCATGCTTGGCTAACTTTTTGCATTTTTAGTAGAGATGGCGTTTCACCATGTTGGCCAGGCTTGTTTTGAACTCCTGACCTCAGGTGATTCACCCACCTCGGCCTCCCAAAGTGCTGGGATGACAAGCGTGAGCCACTGCGTCTGGCAAATTTTTTTGTATTCTTAGTAAAGGCGGGGTTTTGCCATGTTGGCCAGGCTGGCCTTGACTCCTGGTCTCCAACTCCTGGCCTCAGCCTCCCAAAGTGTTGGGATTACAGGCGTGAGCCACTGTGCCTGGACACTTCCAGGCTCTTTTAAGAAAGGTTGCCACTGGGTAGAAACGTACAGATACCTTGGGGTCCTCTCTGGTGGAATTGGTACCAGATCTCACACATCTCCTCGTCACCTCGTCCTAGGGCACTTCCAGCTCTGAGTGAGAAAGAACTCTGGTGCACAGCCTCTTGGGACTTCCTTTCTCATGGTCCCTGGTGTCTCCTCATACGTTTCTTAGGATTTTCTTTGCTCCCTCTGAACCTTAAGAGACTGCCCAGAAGGGCCACCTTATGGTTTAAGATGTGTGATTATTCATTTTCCTCTCCAGTGCATCCTCTCTTGTGACTACAGTTAAATAGATCTCAACATTTTAATTCCTTCCTTGAGAACCTTTGTGGTGCTCCCCACTGTCTAGAGAATAAAGTCTAAACTGCATGATATGACACATACTCACCTCTTGTGGCCCTTCACATTTCCCCACCAGACATGCGGTGTTCTGCCCCATTTTGTGAATATGCCTCATTCCCCTTTTTTGGCCTGTCCTTCCAGTTCCTCTGCCTAGCAAACTCCAACTCAGGCCTTCAAGAGCCAGCTCAGTTATCACCTCCTCTGTGAAGCCTGCCTGTCTCTCCAACATATTATGATGGCAGATAAGTTAAGGGAAAATATTTCAAGAGTTTTTGCCTTCCTTTTCTCTTCCTCTCCCAGCATTTCATTTTAGAACAGTGCTTGGGCATCCAGTCCACAGATGTTCAAGGACAGGAATGGAAAAATTTGTTCTTGTGTACGGAGTATTATGCAAGAGCTGGGCCTTGAGCCTGTTCTGTGGCCAAAACCCAGTTAAAATAGTCACATTGCCTTTCACTGCAGAAGCTAAAGAAGTTTCTGTTGCTCTTCATTGAGTGAGAAGGAAGCTTCATTTCTTCCATTTTATTCTTGATAAAAAAACCAAAGCACACAATATTTTAAGGAAGTTATTGAGTGGGATACAGTGAGTCAGGATCCAGTTTTCTAACTGAAATCCTTCAATTTTCAGCCAGTTATAGCCCCTCAGAAAGCAGTTAGGTTATCTGCTAATATTGTTATAGAAATAATTAGGTGAATTTAGAGTAAAAAACAAAAGCTTTGATGAGGATCCACTGTTTAATTTTAAAAGACCTAAGTAGTCTCAATAATATGTATGTGTGTGTGTTTGTGTGTATATGTGGGCAGATGGTGAAGGGAGAGGAAATCAAGAGTGTAAAGTCACAATTTCCAAACTTTTTTTTTTTTTTGAGACAGAATCTGGCTCTGTCGCCCAGGCTGGAGTGCGGTGGCGCAATTTCGGCTCACTGAGACCTCCACCTCCCAGGTTATAAGCAATTCTCCTGGGATTACAGGCACCTGCCACCATGCCTGGCTAATTTTTGTATTTTTAGTGGAGATGGGGTTTCGCCATGATGGCCAGGCTGGTCTTGAACTCCTGACCTCAGGTGATCCACCCACTTCAGCCTTCCAAAGTGCTGGGATTACAGGTGTGAGCCACTGCGCCTGGCCTCCAAACACTTTTTTATGTATAAAAATTTGCTGTGTGCAGTTGACATTGTTGACTTTCACTTTGTTCCTGGGGCTTACCCTAAGAGTGAGGATGTCTTTTTCATATATGACTTTTACATTTTAAAAACAGAATGGAATTGTAAGATTTTAAATAATCGGCGTTCTGGACTGTGTGACATAGAACATGTCATTTCACTAAGCCGTGGTTTCCCTTTCAGTAAAATGAACAGGTGAGTTACAGTCAGTGATTTTCAAAATCTTATCAATGAGCACATTGCCTCTCTTTTCAGGCAATCTTGTGTGGATTACCAGTTTTAAATACAGTATCCCTTCACCCCTACCACATCACACGCATTCATACACACACACACACACACACACACACACACACACACACACGCACTCTGAAAGCAGACAGCACTAGAACTCCAGTGGTTTGAGTGGAGGACCTGGGTCCTTGTCACCCTCCACAAGGCTTTCCCAGGGATCCAGCCCTCACCTGGGTCCTGGCTACTCATGGGCTCAGACCAGCAGTATCAGTACCATCTAGAAGCTTGTGAGACATGTACCCTTATGACCTGCCCCAGACCTACTGAATACAGGCTGTGTAGGTGGGGCCCACCAATCTATGTTTCATCAGGCACTCCAGGTAATAATAAGCCACAGTAGCATTTGAGAACTGCTGGCTCTTTGAGTGCCAAGCAATTTTTAACCAAGATTTTAAATGGCAGGGGTGGGAAAGCGGCGGGTGGGAGGCATTCAGTTGGAACACTTGGTTTAAGTTGAAGTATGTTCCTTGTACTATCTGTATCATGATAAATATATACTAGTGATGGAAGAGTTCCTTTTGTGTGACTAACATATAGGTAGCAGCTTATGTGAACTCTTCTAGAAGTCATACTGCCATATGGGAAAAATTGGGACAAAGTGGCAAGAATTCCAAATACGGAAGAAAATGAACGTACAGCATACTCTTGGCATTTGACCTTTGGAATTGTTAACAATCCAAAGACTCAGTTGCATTTTAGATCACATTCCACGACATAGACTCACAGGTTCTGGTTATGATACCGAAAGCCAGTGATGAGGGCATTATTCTTGTGCATTTGTCTTTCAGAGTTCGCAGATTGCTTTCTGACTCCAGCAGTGTTCCTTATTACCGGTTCTTTGTATTCTAATTCTTTCTCAGGTGGTCCTCCCTGGCATTTTTTCTCTTACTATTCTTATATTTTGTGATCATTGCTCAGAAACCAGAATCAGACTACAGCTTTACTTCCCCCAAAGCAGCAAGAAAGTGTATTCACAATAACAGTAATTATTCATAATGAGAAGTCACAGCGCACCAAGGTTTGGGATGGCGTTTTTTCCCTCTGGGGGTCTGAGACTGTGGATATTTTTGGGTCCTTGGAGTCTATCCTTTTGCTGAATGGCTTGGGCTCTGGGAGGGCATAGCAGCATCCACCTGCGCAGGGCTGACAGTGGTTTCCTTTGTCTGGAATGACGTGCTTAATGTTAATAAGGTCTGGAATGTTGGGAGTCAAGACAGATTTTCTTTTGGAATCTCTTTGGTCTTGGCTCCCTGTAACAGATAATGCTTGTGCTTTTCTGTTTTCTGATTAAAGTAGGATATTTAGTAGGGCTTTTGCACTTCACAAGTGGCAGATTTCCTCTTTCTCTTGTAAGCTTTTTCTGTCTTGTGAGCACATATCCTAGGCATGCTCAGACGAGGTGTTTTGGAAGGCTGGAGTTGGCAGGGTTCTTCTTTTCCCCCAGAGTATCTGCTTCCCTTACTGCATTTGAACACTGTACTGTTTCTAGATACATTTTTAATATTGCTTTATCTCTCAAGTCTATAGGTGATGATGAATCCTGTGTTTTTTCACCTGTCTATAGCTGCATATAAATTCTGAGTATTGCAAAAATATCAAGAAAACATGAGAAAAGTTAAAAGTGAGCTCAGGTCAGTGGAATTCATCCATCTGGCTGCCAATTACAGTCTGAAAAGTAAAAATAGTCCAAACAAGCCCAAATAACTTTTATTTTTTCAAAGGACAGTGGGGACCCCTGGATTAGAATGCAAGAGACATGAGGCATTCTTCTTGGCAGGAAACTGGACAATTAACATCGCCACTTCCATTTCAAGCGTAGGCTGCCAGATCTCTCTGCTTAGTTATAGAGGCCTCTGAGTGACTCTAGTTAGGGGCCGAGCGCACTTGAACGCCTTGCAACTGTCTATGTGTGGGATGGAGATAGTTCTGGGGACAGAAGCCTGTTTCATAAGGAGCATGCTGCTCATTAACATGCGCTTTCTGACTTGGGCCTTATCCTGCAGGCCCAAGGCTGGAGAAATCAAACTGTGAATAACTACTTTTCTGTAAGACCCCTTTATGATGATTTTTTTCCCTCTTACTGGGATGTTGATTTTACTAGTGCAAAGGCAAATTTACAGCTCAACAAAGAGGAAACCATGGTGGCCCAAATTGTTAATTAGTAGAGTATATAATTGTCTTTATTAAGTTACATCACTTATCCTATCTTTTGCCTTTTGCCCTTTCCCCCTCGTATTTTTGTTGCAATCTGGAATGTTTTAAAGATGTTTACTACATGATTCTTTCAACAGGCAAAATGAGATATTTTTGTCATGTCAAGTTAAGAAGTCTTAACCCATTAAATCATACTTGAAGCTTCACATTTTTCACTTGCATATAAAGACAAAAAGCATGCAAAAATAATTCGTTGAGTTTTCTTTTGAAATGAATGTTCACCAGAAGTTTGAGGTCAGAATTTTGATTAGTTTTTACCATATGTAGTACTGAACTCTGTAAACCCATGTTATTTTCTCTGCCTTTTTGCTTTCTTGGGAACTGATCATGACAGCATTTAGATGACATCAGAACCCATGTTGGTAAAATAAATGTCATCCCAAAGAACCCTTTAAACAGCAGGTATAAGTGATGATATGGTTTGTTTCTGGTATATTTGTAACCTTCAATTTTATTGATTTGAAACTTCTATATGTTATTTCTTTCATTTAGCTAAGTTGAATTCTGAATTTAACTGGGTTAGAGATCGTCATCACAAAAGTGCCATACTCAGAAGCATATTTAAAATATGTACTAGTTGGGACCTTGCAGATCTTGGTTTAGTCTCAATTCAGCCACTTGGGAACTATGTGCCCTTGGGCATGATAGTTCATCTTTCAAGGCTTCATTTCTTTCTTGTATGTAGAAAATAGGGGTAATTAATGGCATCTCTTTCAGAGGACTATCATCAGCTCTTAGTACAATTTCAGACACTAAGTGCTTTAAAAATGTAGTGGTATTGGTGAAGAAAGACCATGAGATTTTTTCCTTGTGAGAACTGCTTTCTGTGGGCCATTTTATTATAACCTCAGCTTGTGAGCATGCCCATCAGAATGCTGTTGGGCAAGGCGTCCTGCAGGCTGGGTCAGTGTTAAGTAATAGTGAATGCCAAGGACTTGAGATAGGGGAGAGTTCAGAGGGGCATCCACTCCCCAAAAAAGGTTCTCGGACTATTGCCAACCCACAAACAACCTGCTGAATTCTGGGCAAGAATAAAATGCAGTCCTCTCTCCGTGCTTTTTCCCTGTCACCTCTCTGGTTGAATTCTCTGTGTGAGCCCACAGAATGGGGTCTGACAGGCCTGCTTGATTCTGTTTGAACCCACTCAGCAAATTAACCACTCTAAGTTACTTTGCTAAAAGGGGGAGATTTCAGGGGACATTAGCTGGAGGCGATGGGCAAACAACAACTTCTCTATATTTATTTTTCTCCCACCCACATTCCTTGCATTAGGGCAATTAGTTAAGCTAGATGGATAAACTAACTGGGTAACCCACTAAATTTCCAAGTCTTTCACAACCTTTCCTTACACCTGGCAACTTGTACACCATGTCTTCCGCATTCTGTGGGCTGCATAGACCTGCCCTGCTACATTGCGGAAGGGGTCAGCACTAGGTTTAAGTAGATCATGGGGGTGGCGAGGCATCATGGAGGCTGACTACCAGGTATGTCGAGGTGGAAACCATTTCTGTTAATACCTTATCTGAAAGAGTCTCAGCATTTGTGATGGAATTTTGGCAAATTTCCTGCTGCTATGTCAACATCGATTTTGTCATTGCTTCTCCTTCTGTGGAATGGAGCTCTAGGATCTTTACATAAACTGCAGTGTCAAGAGGCAGGGTGTTGAACTTCTGGTTTTGTATGATCAGTATTGTAATGTGATAATTATAGTCTATACTACAAATATGTTCATTATTCTTCATGCTTTCTGCCATGGTCAGCTGTGGCTTTTATTTTAAATTTAATTTGCTCAACCAGACACACAGTGTAGCAGACGCTATTACCGTATTTCAGTTTTTGGTGCTGTAGTGAGACTTTGAAATTCTAGGAATTGAGTAGATAACACAAGTGTGATGTGGGAAAGGTCCCTGGGAAACAACAGTGATTCTATTAGGCTGGTGCACAAATAATTGTGGGTTTTGCCATTACTGTTGTACCCACATAATAGCTCAGTGCATGCAATTTACAAAGTAATAAGTGAAATGCTCCCCATAGTTGACTATAACATTTCCTCATTTTTCTCTGAATTTGCTTTTTAAAAAACTCTTCCCCTTGCCATTCCCTTCCCCATTCCAGATTGTAACTGCTTCTTTCCAGCTGCATCAGAAGAAGGGGACTTTCCATGTAGGTGTTATTCTCAGAAAAGGCCAGAAAAGACCAGGTCATGGTGGGGATGATTTGCTCCAAGCATAAAAGAGAATTGTGATGGTTCAGGAAGACTGGAAAATAACGAGACTGGAAAGAAATGAGAAGGGCTTCAGAGGAATGGCACATTGAAATAAAAGGAAGTGGTAAGAACAGGAAAACAAGTGGAATGAAAGGAGCACACAGTGGGCAGGGATGATTGGATAGACTGTGGAATAAAGATAATTTGGGAAAAAAATGGGCAGAAAATAAGAGAGGTTTCATGGTTCCATTATTGTATATTCTATTCCTCCTACTAGGTTAACATTTCCCAGAGGGGTTGGGTGGAGACGGGGAAAGCCTTTTTGCCCTGTTGTGGTCCATGTGCCCTTCTGCTGGCAGATCCACTTGGAACAAATCTCCATGTGAATACATCTCCTACTCTTTTCCTATTTGGAGTTTCCTGATGCTTTTGTCTACCTCTTGTGCTGGATTAGAGCATCCACTGCCAGCATGCATTAATGTGATAAACAAAATAAAAGTGAAGTCTTAAGTAGAACTTTGCAAGGAGTAGCAGTACACTATACGGAGGTATTAGGTTTTTTTGAATATGACTTGAAGTTGTTAAAATGATATTTTAGAGTTTTGATGTGCTTAAAAACTGGAAATTGAGAATTTTTTTTTTTATTTTTTGTTTTAAGTTAAAAATTAAGCACAAGATGCCAGGCATGGGAGGATCACTTTGTGAGGCCAAGGCGAGAGGATTGCTTGAGCCCAGGAGTTCAAGACCAGCCTGGACAGCATAGCAAGACCCCATCTCTGACAAAAAAAATTAGCTGGATGTGGTGGGCATGCCTGTAATCCCAGCTACTTGGGAAGCTGAGATGGGAGCATTGTTTGAAGCCAGGAGGTCAAAACTGCAGTGAGTGTTGATCATGCCACTGCCCTTTCGCCTAGATGACAGAGTGAGACCGACTCAAAAAAAAAAAAAAAAAAAAAAAAAAAAGCACTAGAAAGTTGGGAGAGAGGGCAGCACTTTTCCTTTATTGCTGGGTTAGTATGCCTTTGTCAAAAGCAGCTTGTTTTAAATGAAGATGTCATGCTTATTTCAAGTCCTCTTAAAACCAAATTCACTCTCATATCCCCTTGGTATGTAATAAAAAGCAATATATATAAATATATATATATATATATGGCATTTCTGTGAAATAATCAACTCTTGCTTTCTAGACTTATTAGAATTACCTCATGAAAGCAACATGAGGAAGTGAGTGGGAAGAACTAGGTCTACAACAGTTAAAAATTTTTTTTCATAAATGCATTTATTACTGCTTCTCTTAATTCACATGGTGAACTTCCATTGACCTTTTTTCCTTTTTATTTGAAAAGACACAAATTATTGTATGGAACAGTACGATCTTTCAAACCAGGAGGGATGGAGAAACTGCCATATTTTAGGTTCACTGAGTTCCTCAAAACTATTTAAGTGTCTTGCCAAGCACATTTTTAAAAAATTCATATTTAGTCTTTCAGGAAGATTTATCTTTTGTTGGAATGTTGCTCCAAGGAACTCTGTAATATACCAGCATCTCTTGAAAGCTTTGTTAAAAATGATGTGTTACTTAAGTGAAAAATGGTTATGGGTGCCTTAATTATTCAGCTATCAAGTGTTTTTTTTTTTTTTTTTTTTTTTTTGACACACTGACAGCATTCGTATTATTTACTACTTACACTATCATCCATGGGAAGATGGCTCCAATGTACTTGTAGACAGTTTTCAATTTGAAAACTATATCTTCATTTCATTGAAGAATTTCATGTCTGGGAAGTACTATTCCCTATAGAGTTTAATCTCTGGGTATAGTGGTCTCAACATCATCTACAACATTACGCATGAGGACTGTTTAGAGTAAGTTAGGTAAGTTGCTATTGCATTAGCATTCCTCTGAAGAAAGATGATCTTTTAGGTAGTAAACATACATGCATCATAGAATCAGTAGGATTTCCTGATCTGCCTGACTCTGCAGTGCTTCCATGCCTGTTTTCTGTGTCATTTCTTCATTTTCTTTTCTTTTATGGGTTGGGGGAGAGACAGGGTCTTGCTCTGTTACCCAGGCTGGAGTGCAGTGGCGCTATCACAGCTCACTGCAGCCTCAACCTCCTTGGCTCAAACAATCCTCCTGTCTCAGACTTCTGAGCAGCTGGAACTACAGACATGTGCCACCCCACCTGGCTAATTCTTTTTATTTATTTTATTTTTTGTAGATACAGGGTCTCACTTTGTTGCCCAGGTGGTCTCGAACTCCTTGGGCTCAAGTGATTCTCCCGCCTCGGCCTACCAAAGGGCTGAGATTACAGGCGTGAGTCACCACGCCCAGCCCTGCATCATTTCTTTTAAATAATGTCAAGGACAGCAGGTTCTATGGCCCTGCTACCCATAGTTGGAATGAGAGATACAGTAATCATCTAAATCTTAGCCTTTATAGTTAAGATTTCAGAACTTGGTTTTCTGAACTGAATAATCTGTGGGATGTTTGTACCCAGAAATTAGGATTCTCATTCATCTCTTTTTCTTCTATTTTATATGTTTGTTTCTTGCATTTTTAGATTCTATGAATTCTCTACCCCTCTCTCCTGTTCTGTATATCTGGCTTCCAAGACTTGCCATATTTATCATCAGTAATACTATAAATGGACTTTTAAAATTCAACACTTTCATTCATTCATGTACTGCTGAGGTATTTTTTATTTTATTTTGCATTTTGAACTGGGTAAGGAAATAGAAAATGATAACGATACATGAGAAGGATGTTTTTAATACTAGATTGTTGTCATAGCTGTCAACCTATTTACTTTTGAAGAAGAAAGTTTCAATAATTGCTCTTATTTTAAGACTATGTTACAAGCTCATTGAGTGCATCCAAGGAAAAGGAAGCATTTCAGATAAGCTAACTGCCCTTCTTTAATAAGGGTGCATGGTCCAGTTGCTAGATTGTCCTTGTCATCTTATTTCCATTTCCTTCCTTTTGTCCATTTTTATCTTTAATGATCTCAGTAGGAGGTAAACAACCTCGATAAGAGGATAAGGGAGAATATATCCAAGTGCGGCTTGTCAATAGCTCTGATAAACATTTGGTGTGTGTGGAAAACCTGAAACTTAAAATGATTCTCAGAAATTATCTCTAGGGTTCATTTGTAATATTGGGTAGATTACTATTTCTGTAGGTGGGAAACTACTATTTCTATAGATCAAAAATAGTTGAAATTTTACATGCTTCAACTTAATATTCCACACATCAATATGAAAGATAATTAATAGGTATCTATACAAAGTATATCTCTACTCTGTGTCTCAGCTGTTGGTATGCTAGAATTTGTTTTGTTTTTACTTTCAGTGTCAAAATACAGTAAAATGTTTAGGGAGAGAAAACAGTGAACATCAAAGAACTCAGGTAATGTGTCCACTGCTAGGATGTTTTTTGCAAATAGATATTAAAAATGATATTTTCAGGGGAGCAGTAGATCAATAATCTGTTTAAGGCAGGAGATACTGGATTTTATAAAGATATGAAGGAATAAAATGAGTGCCCAAGATGTTTACTTGAAATGGTGGCTAGAGTCCTATTGATTAATGCTGGTGACTGAGACTTCAACATTGAAAATAAACCATCCCCAGACAATTGGTAATTATAGGTGACAATTATGTTATTATACTTTATTTAGGTAGTAGTTTTGTTCCTGGAAAATTACTTTTATTCAAGAGAAAAATTTGAAGCATTTGAGAACTGAATGTTTTGTGGGAACTCTTGTGTATAATTTTTCAGTTTTATTCAATTTCATAAGTCTTCAGGGAATGTTTTCAGGCCTAGATTTACGGACACTGTACATAGTACCTACTACCAAAAGAACATTCTACCACCAGGCTTATTAGAAAGCATATTGTCTGTTTTCCTGCTGCCTTGTTGTGAGCAGATGTTCCCTCAGCATTTCTGAATTATTTTAATGCACAAGATGGGAAGAACAATAAGTTAAAAGAAAAAGATAGGGATGAATTTTTTGACTAGGTAACTGCATTTGAGTGGGGATAAATGTCAGTATTCTCAATCTTTTTTATCCCTCTGCTCAATTTGAGGTAATACCATGTGGTGACCTAGTCTGTCATCAGACCCTAAAAATTCAGTAACAAGCCTCAGTTCTGTATTAATAGGAGAATGGATTAAAAATAAATTTGTAATAAACTCTAGCACAGTCTTGCCACTTGAGCTCAGTTCCTTTGATTTGGCCCAATTTTCTTCACTGTTTTTCTTTTCATATTGTAATGACTACTGTCCACAGAGAAGGTTAACACAATGGAGGCATACTTCTGATGGGCTCTGTGTTTGTTTCCTGTGACTAACAAATCAGCACACACAAAGCTGGTGCTTCTTTTTTTTCCCCCATAGAGATGGGGTCTTGCCGTATTGCCTAGACTGGCCTCTAACTCCTGGGTTCACAGCATTCTGCCACCTCAGTTTCCTGAGTAGTTGGGACTATAGGCATACACCGCCGTGCCTGGCAAAGCCAGTGATTTAAAACAACAGAAATTTATTCTATCACAGTTCTGGAGAGAATGTAGAGCTCAGAAGCCCAACATCATTGTTGCCCAGGTGAAATCAAGGTATTGGTAGGCCCGAGCTCCCTCCGGAGGCTCTAGGAAAATATCTGTTCCTCGCCTCTTCCAGCCTCAGGTGGATGCTGGCACTCTTTTGCTTGTAGCCACATCACTCCAGCTTCAAGACCAGCATCTTCAAATCTCTCTGCTCTTTTCTTCCCCTCTGTTTGTGTTAAGTCTTCCTCTGTCTCTGCCTTATAAGAATACATGTGATCTCATTTAGGTCCCATCTGGATAACTCAGGATAATCTGCCATCTCAGAATCCTTAACCTAATCATATCTCCAAAGACTATTCCTTGCAGGGTAACATTCACAACCACCACAGTCTCCTTCCAGCATCTGTGTTCTAGAAACCTGGCTGAGCCAGCCCATTTGGCTGCATCCTAGGTCTGATTGATACACCCTCACCTTCCACAACATCTACTACCTACTATCCGCTATATGCTTTTTAGTGAGCTGCAGTTAATTTCATCCAAAGGTACAATAGCAGCAGCAAGTATCTGTCTCTACTAACACAGGCCAAGAATCATTTAGCAGAGCTACCTCCTCTCTTTAGAGAAGCAGTTTACGTAGGGAAATCTACACACACACTTTTTTTTTTTTTTTGAACAGGGTCTCACTCTGTCACCCAGACTGGAGTGCAGTGGTGTGATCTTGGCTCACTGCAGCCTCGACCTCCCTGGCTCAAGCAATCCTCCCACCTCAGCCTCCCAAGTAGCTGGGACTGTGGGCATGTGCCACCATGCCTGGCTAATTTTTGTATTTTTTGTAGAGACAGGGTTTCACCATGTTGCCCAGGCTGGTCTTGAACTCCTGAGCTCAAAGGGTCCTCCTGCCTCAGTTTCCCAAAGTGCTGGGATTACAGGTGTGAGCCACCATGCCCAGCCTATGCACAGTAAATTAAGCTAGTTTAAGCAGTTCATAAAGCTGAATGCTATAACAACTGTGCTGGAAATAGAAGTGAGTTGTGCTGTGGACGTGCATGTGTATTCACATGTAAAATGGCGGCTGTGTATTTTCAGGGCATATTTAATAGTTAAATATCAGAATCTGTATAATTCCTTTTAAATGATGACCGGAGCTCATGGCATTTCCCAAGAAGAAGTGAAATGAACCTATCTGATTTGGAACATATATTTTCTTTAAAAAGTAAGTAAGATTGTTTTCAGGGAGCATGAGATAAGATTTACAAAGTTTAAAAGTAATCTTTAATGAATCTTATGTCCCGTAAATGTTAAATAGCCCTCAGGGAAATTACATAAAGCTGGTACTCATTGGATATTACACTAAATAGCTAATGTTATAATAGATTGATTAGAGGTGTCTTTTCTCTGATGGCTGTCATGTAGGCAGAGTCTAATAATTAATTTAATTTTGAAGAAGATTTCTGTGGACCCTGAGGTGTCATATGCCAAGTGGGTGACAAATTCTAAAGCCCTGTTATCTGCCTTGTGTTTTTAATAATTATTGCCCATTGTAATAAACTTGTATCTTAGATTTCTTTTTTCACCCTTCAGTGGGTGTTTTGCCTAAATTGAAAAGACATAGAAGATTTTAACTACATATGAAGTACTATTTTAAGTCATTTGAGATTTTTCTCTCCTCCAGAATTTTTTAATCCTGTCATACTTGGCGGAAAATAATGTATACATCAAAGTCAAGCATACTTAATTATATAGTTTAAACATCAGTGCATCATTAGTTAAATGAACAAATTAGTTAAAACTCTGTATTTGCTGTGGGTTTCAAAAATTACCTGGACAGTAATTAGAGTTACAAAGAGTTCTAAAACAAAAGTTGATGAGAATAATGAAGTTGAACTACAAAGCCCTGATTGTATAAATAGGGCAAGAAGAAATAATACCAAGAAGTGGGGGAAAAAGTGTTTTGGCCAGACCTGAGAACTCAGCTGGATCATGTGGTATCAGCCAAGATAATATGTGACAGAGAACGGCAGATACAAATACCATGACACTCTGTACATGGGAATAGAGAAATCAGGGATAAAAAATACAAGTCATGTAGATCACAGCTCTCCGTGTAGCCAGGCTCAAGTTAAGGTAGTTCAGTTGTATAATCAACTTTCGTGGTATTGCTAGGACCTTAATAGAGGAGAGGCAAAGCTGAGGGGAGATCACATTATGTTACCTCTCTGGAATAGTTTCTCCAATCTTTCCATGCATTTAAAAAATTGGATCTGTCTAATTCAAGCCATTTAGTTCTACCCATGCTCATGATCCTTTGGTTTTAGCTACTTATGTGATTTTTCCATACAAATATCAGTCACTTGCAGCATATACCATGCCCTGCCAGTTCCTTTTGGAATCAATTTAAATGAGAAAAATAAAGGACTTTGGGAAAAACTATTTAAGTGTGTCTGTTAAATTGTTTTACTATTTGAGAATAGTTCTGGAGTCTGAAATACATTTTCCATTTAATAGTATTTGGCTTTTTTTTGTTTGTTTGAGCCATAGCATTCGTGGAAATATGTTGAAATCTTAAGTGGAGAGAATATGACTTACTGCTTTTGGTATTACTTGCTGTCTAGAACGTTACAGTCTCCACTATAGTATGTTCCTGGTCAGCAGCATTAGAAACAAGGACAACTTCAGACTACAAAGAAATGTGCATATTGTGATTCACAACTTTCTTCCTATTTTAAAATCTCCATATTTTTTTTTCTTTCCTTTCCTTTTCCTTTTTCTTTCCTTTCCTAGGCTCTCTCTGTCATCCAGGCTGATATGCAGTCGCATGATCATAGCTCACTGCAGCCTCAAACACTGCATCTCAAGTGATCCTCCTACCTCAGCCTCCTGAATAGCTGGGACCACAGGCATGTGCCACCATGGCTGGCTAATTAAAAAAAATTTTTTTTTTTTTTTTGGTAGAGATGGTCTTGCTATGTTGCCCAGGCTGGTTTTGAACTCCTGGCCTCAAGTGATCCCCTTGTCTTGGCCTCCCAATGTACTGGGATTACACCTATGAGCTACTGCCCCCAGCCTATTCTGGATTCTTCAGATTGTAGAGCCAACTGTACTACAAATCTGTGTGGTTTTTTTGTTTGTTGTTTTGTTTTGTTTTGTTTTGTTTTTTGGAGAGAGGGTCTCACTCTGTCGCCCAGGCTGGAGTGCAGTGGCACAGTCTCGACTCACTGCAACCTCCACCTCTCGGGTTCAAGCGGTTATCCTGCCTCAGCCTCCCAAGTAGCTGGGACTACAAGTGCGTGCCACCATGCCTGGCTAATTTTTTTTGATATTTTTAGTAGAGACAGGGTTTCACAGTGTTAGCCAGGATGGTCTCGATCTCCTGACCTCGTGATCCGCCCACCTCAGCCTCCCAAAGTGCTGGGATTACAGGCGTGAGCCACCGCACGCGGCCTAAATCTGTGCTTTTTTATAGGACATTTCATCAAATACATATTCTTAGTCACTTGAGTGGCAACTCTTCCTAGATATTAATACTGTATACAAAAAGTTAGGTCTAGAAAATGACATCAATTATTGTGAGACAAGTAACACATTTCTGTATATCCAAAACATATTTCATTAAATTTGACTGTTTTCCTAAATTTCCAATGTTATTGTAGTGCTTGTTTTGTAATATTGTGCTTGCGTGTGCACATGTGCACTTACATAGAGCTTAAATGGGTAAAATAGAGTGTTACTCTCTTTGCTGGTCTCACTGCTTTAGCTGTTGTTCCCTTAAAATTCGTTCTCTGCACAGCAGCTGGGTGAAGTTTTTATTAAAACCCCCATGTTTTCCTTTCGAACTTAGCATACAGTGCAAACTCTACTATGGCTGCTGCCTGATGCGCCTTCTTCCAGCCCTGCTCCAGTTCTCTGTGCCCTTGCCACACAGCATACTTTCTCCAATTCTCTAACATGTGGGGCCCATTCTGCCCTAGTGCCTTTGCCCTCTCTATTCTCTCTCTTGGAAAGTTCTTTTATACTTTGTATAGTAGAATCCTCCCAATCCTTCCTGGCATAGCCCAAATGCTTCAGGGTCAGAGAGACCTTCTTGGACTACTTCATCACATCACGCTTCTCTACATATTCTTCATGACACCCACCACTAGCTGACTCTATTGTGTTTGTTTGTGTACATTTTCTATATTCTCCTGCAAGAGTTCACCCTTGACTATATTGGAAACAGATTGGAGTTGGCAGAAGATAACATGCAGAGCTCACTCAAGGGGACTTCCAGACATCTTTTATAGATAATACGAATTGCTAAATTTGCTTTTCATCTAAAAAATTTCATTTTATAAGACTTGGGTTAAAATACAGAATTCCATTGCAGTTGGAAAGAGTTACCAGATAGTTCATTATGTGTGCTTGAATGCCAGTCTTGCACAGCATGTAGCACAGTCAGTATGAAACCCTTTTTTGAGGAACTGAAATGCCAGGTAAGAATTCTATGGTAAGCCTATTTCAGCCCCACAAATGAAGGCCTTTCCTATAAATGTGGTCTTGTATTTCCTTCCAGCCAGATGAATGCAAGAAACTGTCATCGTTGCTCTCTCCATTTTTGTTTAGTAAGAACGAGCCTCTTTAGGTGTTTGTAGAGTTATTTTGGCAGTCTAGTATTATTTCCACTATCATTAGCTTTTACCCTTAGGTAGAACCTGGACTTTGTGTTTTCACCTATCCAATTTTCATTACATTTCATGTAATTCATAGAAATTAAAATTTCACTCAGATACTCTTGACTGCATAGCAACAGACCTATTTTGGAGTATTAAAACAAGGTTTTAATATAGAAACTGTTTCAACCTTTTGTTTTAAACTATTGATTTCCTACATAGTTTGGGAATTTTTTTAGATACCAGCTCTCTTCAGTAGTTCCGATTTCTTAGGACTTTTATAAAAAACATCTTGAAAAAATGGTATCATAACTTTAATATTACTCAGCACATTTTTTGTTGTTGTTGTTCAGAATGGTTTATGCGCTCTTATTCTGATGAAAAAGAAGATGAAAACATTCTTTTCTAATTGTTGGGAAATGTTGTGGAACCTGACTTTTTGACCGCTTTTGCCAATGCTAGGGCCTGTTGACCTACTCATTCCCACTTGGCTCTGCCAGCTGGGGCTGCCTTAACTGGTCTCCATGCTCCTATGAGAGAGTTCTTAGGTAAACGTCAAGTCTGCATCAGAAAGCCGTGCAGACGTGGAGAGCCATCTTTTTCCAAACGTTCAGTGCAAGGCAGAGCAACAGGCTCTGCTTTGAGAATTATTGCTGGAGACACCATCCACGCATGCAAGCATTCTGTACCGGGTAGTACACTGACAATTTGGAACAAGGATAGACACTGCCATCTTGGTTCAGAAGGCCTCCTAATAATGGCATTCTAGAAGAGAAAACCTGGATTATGTAGCCTAAGATATGGTCTTGTTCTGGTAGAACATGTGTGAATAGGAAACACATCGTAGCCCTTGCTGATACTGTTACTAGGGTCTAGATCACCGTTGGGCTTAAGCAGAGATGGGTAATTTTTGCTTTTTCTTAATATTCCAGCAGTCTAAACTAAAAATATGGAGAGATTATAAACCTGTGTTTGCCTGAAAACAAGATTGTCACCAATCTCAAAAGTCAGAAATAAATCATTTTTTCTCATACTCTGTATAATAGCTATAAGAGAGTGGGGACTGGAAAGGTATTTTGGAGTTTAAAAGTAGTAAAACACAGAACCATGAGTCCTGCTTGCAACTTTAATAAAATTTGGGTATTGTCTGTGTAGAACACCTTTTCTGTTCCTGGGTTAGGCTATAAGGACCTCCCGTTATGAAACCAAGCCAGAAACTGCCCTAAGATTAAATACCTTAAGGAAAAGTAACCTTTGTGGCAGTGGGGAACAGTCACAGCTCTGAGACCACATCTCTGGTCAGTGACCAGAGATATCTGAGAGCTGATGGGCTGTAGTGGGGAGAAGGACTGGCTGCTACAGGAAATAAACCTTATTTCAGACCCACCTGGAAATGATCTTACTTAATATGTTGCTTTTTACATGTTTTAGGGAATTTTTAGATTCACATTTCAGGAGACTATTCTGTATTTGAGCCTTTGGGTTTTGCTGAAGAGCATAGAACCCTAAAAACCGAATATGATGATCTTAGAACTTCCTTAATTTCTTTCTTTCCACTCTTAGTCTCTTTTCTCATTTCCTTTCACTGCTCTGAAAATTAACACCTGCTAGGGAAATCAACTTTAGGCTGCTTTCATTGGAAGCCAGTGTCTAAAAATCAATCCTGGCAACTAGTGTAAAATGAAATTTGGAAGATGTCTTGATTCTCATGGACTTGTGCAAGCTGAAGTTATTAAAGAGGATTAGGAACCACAGCTGGTGAGCAGATGGAATGCTTATAATTTCACAATCTGAGGTAGCTGTAAACTCAAATCTGCACAAAACTTCTTTGCTTTTTCTCTAGTTTATTTCACTTTATCTTCCTGGACTGTAACTCTGGGCAAGTACGATCGTTTAATTGTTGGAGATGATGAGCCTTAATAGGTTCCTCATTTAGATGGCATCATTTAAAATTCTAGTTGTACAATTTCATACTCAGAATTTCATTTCAGAAACCAACTATTTAATAATGGACTTATTAACAGCACAATAAGTAGGAAATGGTTTTACCTTTCGTTCAAAATGTAGAAATATATTTTAAATTTGAACAATGAAGACTGGTTCACAGTAATTGCAACTAGACAATATAACTACTTGCTTCTTAAAGAAATGCTTGATTCCATCAGTTTCTTCAGCTTTTTCTGTGTTCATTTCTACTAGAAATTCCTGTGTCATAGAAAAAAAGTCCCCTAAAGCCACCTTCTTCATTGGCTCTGTTACCTAATCACAGGCTCCCTGCTCCCTGTATATTCCCCGCACCCATGACTACTTCTCTGTTCATTCTATCTGATCATAATATAGGGGCCTTATACATGCACAGAGCAACTGTTTGCCCCCTCAGAAACATAAGCCTAGACCACATTTTCTGGGTAGATTAGTGTTTTCTCCACAAAGGAAGGTGTTTGTGAGACTTTCATCCAGTGGCTGCTAGGAAGGTCAAATTAGGAACTTTTGTCTACAGATACAAAGACATTAACTTACACTTTATGTTAGTGGTTGTTACTTTATTTAACAATGGAATTAGTGTCCACTCTACAGTTTAGCACCTCTTTATCCTTACTGAAAGACTTTAGAGAAATGGCTGCTAAGGTGGAGTTTCTTCAAATACAGAAAAACATCTGGAGCCGTAAATAAGTTGAGCAGCCCGGATACATTCTGTACTAGCTGGTTGGGAAGAAAACAACACAGGGATATTTCAGGTGGTGCCGCACAACAAACAGCGGTAGTTTATGGTCTGAGATAGTCTCTGTTCTTTTGGAACCGGTGTGTGCTTCTTCTCTAAAGCCACAGTCAGCAGCAAAAAATACTGTAACATGTCTTTTGGAAGCAATTACTGCATGATCCTCAGTGTTCTAGCCTCAGAACATCCTGAGTGTTCCATTTCTATACGTGCGGGAGAAGAGGACATATTACCGATGCTTTGGCATGAAGTAATCTGGAGAATTATTATAGGATATGGTCTTTCTTGACCAGCTTTTGAAATGGCTTTCAGTAGCTTCTCTTTGGATTTCCAAACTGACCTTCTGTAATTGGATATGGCCTCTTACAGAAGCAGTAGTATAAACATGTTTAAACTTCTAATGTAATTATTTTATCCTGAACCAAGTAGTCTAGCAGTCTCTTCCAGCGGATAGATTTGTTTATCTTAAGTAGAGTTGATCTCCCCGCCTTACCCTTGTTACCTTTGGACACAGGAGATGGCAGGAGAAGAGGTTTTGGATGGCCCCCAAGAAGAAGTAGACTTGGACCGAAAATCAGAAGACAAGAAGACCTGAGGATTTGATACTGGGTTCTTTTAGATTTTCCTGTGCGATCTTGACCAGATTCATAAAATCTCTGATTTGCTGAATCTATATCTAGTAAATGGGTATAATAATATCTAATATGTATTTGCATATGTTTGGTATGTGTATTGGTATGTGATGACTGACATAACAAAGTAGCACAAACTAGGTAGCTTACACAACACAATTTTATCTTCTCACAGCTCTAGATGCTAGAAGTCAGACTGCAGTGTTGGCAGGGTTGGTCCTTCAGGGCCATGAGGGAAGGATCTATTCTAGGCCTCTGTCTTTGACTTGTAGATGGCCATTTTCTCCCTCTGTCTTCACATCATCTTCCCTGTGTGTGTCTGCATCCGAATTTCCTCCTCTTCTAAGGACACCTGTCATATTAAATTAGGGCCCACCCTGATGAGCTCTTTTTAACTTAATTACCTCTTTAAAGGCCCTATCTCCAAATATAGTCAAATTCTGAGGCACTGGGGGGCCAATCCAGATTTTTTTGGTCATCCATTTTTTTTCTTTTCTGTTGTCTTATCTATTATATTTTCCTCTTGTGTGTTTTTATTTCTCACCCAGATTAGTCCATGACCTAAATGGCCGCTTTTGCTCACAACTGCCTCTTGGGCTCAATAAGCTCACTGTTGTCTAGGGTTTATACACCTCAGCTGTTAGGAGTTGGAGATCAGATGAATGTGGTTTATCGTCTGTAGAGTGAAATATGGCTACTAAGTGGTGCCATTACAGAGCCAATTTGGGGTGTAAATCTAGTATTTCAGCTCTTGGACTTTTTAAACTGCATCTTTAAATAGAACACTAGTTTCATTCTGAGGGGGGGAAATATACATGCAGAAGACATTAAGGCCTATGATGAATGTCATGTTTTGAACAACAAGGGCAGCTCATTTGGACAACAGAAATCCATCTGCAGGGCTTAAGAGAATCCTTTATTTTATACAGAAACCGAATAAGTTCCAAATAATATAAATGTTATTAAAGACTTAGAATGAGATAGCAATAGTGCATAGCTTTGGCCTAGAGTAGGTAGGCTTGAAAACAATTCAGGACTTCTTTTACATTGACCCTGGATTTGTGGATGTCTGTTCTATCATAATATGTTTTAGAGAATAAAATGGAAAAGCTTGTAATACCAGAGAGCTTCTATTCCTCAGAGTGGTTGCAATTCTGGAGAACAACCTCTTGCAAGTAGCATTTTCCGTATAGACATTTCTTGCCTGCTGGCCCAATCTTAACTTTTCATTTTAGTTCATTTCTCAGTTCAGTGCATTTAGAAGACAGTGCATTTTTCTTTTCTGGACTAGGGCAGATGGTGCTGTCACTTTTGATTATCTGGTTTTTTTTTTAAAGGGAAGTGTTGATTAGGGAGAGCAAGAAATGAAATACCACCAGATTAAATTGAGAGCAGAAATTATACAATCCCAAAAGAGGCAAATCTGTTCTATGTTTTTCTGCTTAGTTTACTATAGTTTATGTTTGACTTTCTAGATTTCAAGTTGGATATATTTTAAAAGATCATTTTAAGATAGCTTTTGGGTTATGAGTTTGCTTTGTTTCTGCTTTCTGGAAGATATAGAAGATAGAAATGTTTAGATGGTTTTCTTTTTCTAGTCACATTTAAGTAAGAAGATCCTTGGGTAAGAGTAGCTTTTAACAAATCCAAAATGTTTGGATAATTTCTACTTTATGCCACTGAAATCTCTCACTTGCAGTCTAGTGGCACTTTGTGTCTTGTTACTGTTTGGCCATCTAATCTTAAATTAGAATATTTAACAGGTGTTCCAAACCAGAAGTCACAAGGAAGTGGACAAAGAGGCCCAGAAGATAGCTTGAAGAGCCTCCTGCTGGCTACATTTAGGGCAAATTTAGTGTCCAAAAAATAATGATGGTGGTGGAGTGTAGCAGATTTTAACACATTGAATTAAAATAAAAAGAATCTGGGTTCAAGATACTTTGAAAAGTGGGAGGGAGAACTAATAAACATAGAAGGAATAACAGAATTAGAAAAATCACCATCTGGAAACTACCTGTAATATAATGATACATGCTAGAGATCATCAGTATTTACTATAACTGTCAGGTAAAAGGGCATAATGTGCTTTGACAATGGAGAAAGGTTTTACACACAATACCTTGAGCAAGTGACCAAACTGAGCATCACCTAATAGTTCAAACAGCAGTGTGCATGTTCTCATGTCATACGATGGGAAGTATATCTGTAAACAATTCTTCCCCAAAATTCTTAGCCTGTATCTAATTACGAGGAAATAGCATCACACTACAGATAGTGATATATTCTATAAGAAAACTGGCCTGACTGCTCCAAAAATGTCAACTTTATAAAAAGTATAAGGGATTTCTGTTCTAGATTAAGAGAGACTAGTAAAAACCTGACAACTAATGCATACTTGGTCCTCGATTGGATCCTGAATTAGGAGAAAAAAAATTAAAGATGTTATTGGAACAATTGACAAAATTTAACATGGATTTTAATCTCAAATTTATTCGATTAATGTTAAATCTGATTGTAGTAATGTGTTTTTGTTTATGTAGGAGAAGCTCCTTGTTCTCAGGAAAGAAATGCTGAAGTTTTGGGGGTGAAATGTCATGAGATCAATAACTTTCTTTCAAATGGTTGTGAAAAAACGTGTGTGTGTGTATATATAAGTAGAGATCAAATGTGAGCATGCAAATGTAGCAAAATGTTAATAAGTTGACCAATCTAGGTGTTTTTCTATAGCAATCTAGGTGTTTTGCTATAATTATAGCAGCCTGAGCTATAATTGGGTGGCTTAAGCAACAAACATTTATTTCTTACAGTTCTGAAGGCTGGGAAGTCCAAGATCAGGGTGCCAGCATATTTGGTGTCTGGTGAGGTCTGTCTTCCTGATTTATAGATGGCACGTTTGTGCTATGTCCTTGTGTGGCTGAGAGAAGAAAGCGAGCTCTCTCAGTACCCTTATAAGGACATCAGTCCCATCTATGAGGGCTTTATCCTCATGACCTCATCTCATTCTAATTACCTTCTAATGCCATCACTTTAGCGCGTAGGGTTTTAAGATACACGAATTTTGGGAGGGCACCAAGCATTTAGTCCCTAACAGTGTTCATAGTACTGCTCCAGCTTTTCTATAGATTAAAAATGTTTTAAAATATGTATTTTTTACAAATCGAGCAATTTCACATAAAATTTTGCATTTCTAGATTCTCTAGAAAAGTGGGAGTGTCTGCCTTACACCCATGATACACCAAGAATAACTGATTGGCTGCATAGCAGCTGCCCCCCTCAGATAGGGTGAGGTTTTTTCCATTTTCCATAGTCCTTACCCTTCCCTTTTGTTTTATATACCCACTTTCTTTACTCATTGATATTACCTGCCTAGTGGCTATAGGCATTTTAGTATGTACCCACACATGTAACACTTGCTGATTTCTTGGGGTGGTAGTAGGTTGTGTCATGGATGGTAATGACTTTTTCATATGCTGGAACTCTTGAGCCCTCTGGATTTGATACCCATATCAGGTGATGAGCTTCACTTGGCTCCTTGGCCACAGGCTGAGTATCTAGCCTTATTCCCAAATAATTCAGTCATCTGAGACATAATTAAGAAAATGTGGATGTAAACACTGTTCAAAACTTGCTGGATAGGAGATATACATATTAAAATTATCTTTCAGATGCAACATATTAGAAATTGTACTCTGGATTCTGCCTGTCAGTTGGCACAGTCTTGCAAAAAGTATTGTATAAGCTGCTTGAAAAAATGTAATATGGTATGCCAAGTCCTAATGAAAAAACATTTTGTGGAAACGTTTGTAGACTCCCATGCAAAAAGTAGTGTATGAACTTTAATTACCTTTGTAAGTTGTTCTATCCTGTGTTTAAGTGACTACTTTCCTGTTACATACCCAGGGAGGGTACCAGCTCTTGCTGGATAATCATGGTCTTGAGCCTTCCCCCAAAACACAAGAGCAGTATCTGGCAGAGGTTAGGGTTCAGCTAGCAGTGAACAGTTCAAAAACACAGGGAAGAAGAGGAAAGGACTGGTGCTAGAGTTAATCTTGTCAAGCAAACATATCTACCTAATACTTAATCTGTTTTTGTGGGTTTGCATCCCTGTACAATTTGATGTTCTTAAAAACACTAGCAGCCTTTGGCCGGGTGTGGTGGCTCACGCCTGTAATCCCAGCACTTTGGGAGGCCGAGATGGGTGGATCACTTGAGGTCAGGAGTTTGAGACCAGCCTGGCCAACATGGTGAAACCCCGTCTCTACTAAAAATACAAAAATTAGCCAGGCATAGTGGCGCACACTCGTAATCCCAGCTACTCAGGGGGCTGAGGCAGAAAAATCGCTTGAACCCAGGAGGCAGAGGTTGCAGAAAGCCGAGATCGCACCACTGCACTCCAGCCTGGGCAACAGAGTGAGACTCTGTCTCAAAAACAAAACAAAACAAAAAAAACACTAGCAGCTTTTGTCCAGTTCCATGCATATACATGATTTTTACATTGTGAAATGAACACAAAGATTTTTCTTAGGGAATCTGACAGAAATGAGCATAGAATCTTACTAGTATTTCAGTTCATTAAAGACCTAGACCTGGCACTCCATGTTGCCTCTCTTATTACCCCAGGTGTTACACAGCATTTGCCTGAAGGAGGCCATTTGCCTGTGAGGGGGTTAATGTGAATGTTCCCTGTAGGGCTTGACTCAAATCACAGGCCTGGGGAGTGGGGGGCGGGGGGCGGGGAAATCATCCTGTCCAGTGAATTCCAGAAATAGCAACAAAAGCTCAGAGGAAATTAGCCCCTGTTGTCCCATTGACATTCTCTGGCCATCTCTCCTGTCCAGCTGGGCACACTGCTTGGAAAAGAAATTCATTTGTGTTTCTCTCCTTTCTCTTAAGGTTCCAGAACCTGTTTGGAACCTAGGCCGCTCTTGAAAATATTTTCCTGGAATGGAAAGCAACTGCATGCAACATATGTTTACCTGCCTGCTGCTTTCTTTTTCGGTGTTGAGAGTCTGGTATTCCCTTGGCTACCTTTCAGGATTTCAAATAGAGTAACCACTTCACCAGCGAAATGGCTAGCAAGATGTTTATCTTTGTATTTTTAGCATCAGGATGATTGATATCTCAAGATATTTCTGGAATAGTTGTTTTTGGAGATTAACTGCATTGTCCTTATATTATGCAAGTTTATTCTTCGTGTTGTGATTTTACTCATCTTTAATATTTGTATTTAAAACCACTAACTGTGGATCATAGTCACTAAATGGAGAGTCTTAGATAATTAATTCTTCTTTTGTATGCGCTTATTGATTCCTCTTTTTTTCCCAGCATAAGTAATATTTCAAAATTGAAGATGGCCAATATTCTTTTTCTGAGTAGAAAAGCAATTCAACACATATTCGTTGTTGTTGTTGTTGTTGTTGTTGTTTGTTTGGGGACAAGTCTCCCTCTGTTGCATAGGCTGGAGTGCAGTGGCGCCATCTCAGCTCACTGCAGGCTTCAACTCCTCGGGTTCTAGCGATCCTCCCACCTCAGCCTCCCAAGTAGTCGGGACTACAGGCATGTGCCACCAAGCCCAGCTAATTTTTGTATTTTTCGTAGAGATGGGGTCTTACTATGTTGCTTAGGCTGGTCTTGAACTCCTGGGCTCAAGCTTTCTGCCCGCCTTGGCCTCCCAAAGTGCTGGGATTACCGGCATGAGCTACCACATCCAGCCATCAACACACATTCTTAATATTGTTTTCTTTTGTCCCCATTCATGCTTATCAGCATTAGTAGGCATTGACTAGGTATCTAGCTTGTCCTTATTATTGAGTAGTCACATTTTTCGTTTTCACCTAAAATTATTTATTTCTGTTTCTTTTTTGTTTGTTTGTTTTCATATTGATTGTTTACTGTTGGCTTTAGGCTTCTTATCTCCAAAATGAGCATGATCAGAAGCCACACATTTTCCACGCCCCTAGTTCATTATACATGATTTGTTAAAGAGAGTAGCTATGTCAGCTCCTTGGCAGATCTGAGAAAGCATATGATGTTATGACAGGGATATCTACAAATGAGCCTTGTGGATAAGAACTAGACAGAAGGTTTAGAGAGAAATAATGTTGATGTCATCCCATTGGAATGATAGAGCTGTTACAACCAGAAATACATTCTATAGCTAGTAGCTAAGTGTGTAGCTCTATTTCTTTTCTAAGAAGGAAAAAATGTGAAATAAACCAAAGAAGTAAAGTATGTTTATAAAGGAGGATATTTTAATTAGTTTAGGTCTTAACAGTTATTCAAACAGTCTGAACTTAGGTTTCTTTTTGGAGCAAACATGAAAACCATTATTTATGGAAAATTTAAATTTCACATGACACATCTTCCCTCTATGTGTGTGGGTTTTTTCTTTCTTTCTTTTTTTTGAAAAAAACTATTTGCTTTGCTTGTGTATTTTTATTTCAACCTTCCTTTTACTAAAAATGCTTTATTTCCTTGGTGTAGGAGATTTGTTTTTAGGGAAAAGAAAGACTTGTGTCTCTAAGCTGAGCCCCCTTTCCCTTTTTTAGCATTTCCAGATAGGCTGGTTCTCAGCTGACCATGTTTGAATTAGAGGCGCCCAACTTAGCTCCTTTTCAAAAACTTTCCTACCATTAAATGTGCCTATATCTGCAAAACAAAATGCCCCTTCTCTGTGTGAAACACTATACAAGAGTGCCTTATTATTATTATTTATATTTATTTATTTATTTATTTATTTATTTATTTATTTATTTATATTTTGAGACGGAGTCTTGCTCTGTTGCCCAGGCTGGAGTGCAGTGGCACGATCTCAGCTCACTGCAACCTCCACATCCCGGGTTCAAGCGATCTCCTGCCTAAGCCTCCTGAGTAGTTGGGATTGCAGGTGTGCGCCACCACGCCCGGCTAATGCCATTCAACTGCTAAGAAGGCAGCAATGTAGAAAATGGTTTTCATGTTCATTTACCCCAGCCGTGGTCACCAGCAAGGTGGAATCAGGTGGAAAATGGTTTCGATCTGTTTACTTACGTTGTGGCTGCTTCAGTGTAAGGAATAGGAAATATAGGGTTTGCTTACATGATTTTGTCTAATTTATTTACTGCACACCAGAAGGTGGAAAATAGCCCCTGAGAATGAAGAATAAGAAACTTGTCCTCTGACCTTGCACCAGAACCTTGCATTTGTGCACTTCTGGGGCAATCTCTTGTTTAGTTGGCTCACACCAAGTACCAAGTTCTTAAGAGGGGAAGAAACAAAAACCAGACAGAGTTTTCAGCTTGAATAAAAGAAGCTACCCTAAAGGCAAATCAGCAGAATTTTTTTGTTTTGTTTGCTTATTTTTGTGAGGGGATCAGTTATTCTTCTTTCCTTCACAATATGGGAGGTGTGTGCATGAGAGAGACAGGAGAAAAAAAACAAAAAAAAAGAAAACATGCCACCAAACAATAGCTTCATCCAAACTCTGACATACACTCTTTGTACAGCTGGGCTCTGAAACTGTTTTATGGAAAGAGTGGTCATTCAGTGTACTTCGAGGCACGCTTAGATCATGCTTAGGGTGAGATAGGCCAAGGGCTTAGTTAACTCGCTTATTTAGGTCGTAGAGATGTGAATTTTGACATTTTCATACTAGACTGTTAGCTTTCGTACAAGAGTTGATCGTTTATGTGGGAAGTAACTGTCACTTTAAAACAAATTTTATTTTTACTCTTGTTTGGTGCAAATTGTGTCCCTGGGTTTTATTTACCTTTTCCTTCTTAGTCTGTGGCAGCACGAATGGAAAAGCATTACATTAAATAAATGTAATATAAGTGCATTTTTCTCTCTTTTTTCCCATATTTACAATTAGAAGCTTGAAAGAAGACAGAATTCCATCTGGCCTTGGTACCACGTTTCTCCTAACATGAGGGGCTAGTGACCAGACACGATAGGGCAGTGATTGCTTTGTCACTGCCTTCCCTCCCCATGCCCTGCCATTTTTATTTTTGATCTTCTCAGAATCCTTTGTTTATTTGGCCCCATTCAAGGCCCACTTTTTAAATTCTTCCTTTCTTCATATACATTCCCAGCAGATAGGTGGCCTTTGCTCTATTCATTTGACAACCTTTTCTAAGTTAAAAGCAAATAAGAAAACCAACATAAACCTTCCCATAGGACTGAGCAGATCTCCTCTGCTGCCTTCTCTTTCTCCCATCCACCTCAAGGCCAACACCCCACCAGTATCAACCCCATGTTTTCTTTCTCAGTGTCCTCTCCCTCAGGATCCCTAGATCTCTATTAACTCTTCATGATACAGTCAAAGGTTATACTTGCTTTGGGACCATGTATTAGACTTGTGGCCCTGGAGAAATCACATCTACTCTCTGAGCCTCAGTTTCCTCATTTGTTCCTTATATTCCTTCCTCAGTCAACAAAGACACCTATGGGTGGTGTGCCCAGCACCGGAGGTGAGAACCATGATGAGCTAAGTAAGCATAAGTTCCTATCCACCACTGTGAAATGGAGCAGAGAATGTCCATCATGCAGGGGATATTGTAAAAATTAGCAAGGTGATGATGCATAGATGAGCACGTATGTAGGTGCTCAGGAAATGTCAGTTTTCGTGATTGTAATCAAAGGCAAACAGAGAAGGCAAGTCCTGACCTCTCTTTGGAAGTTGTTTTTATCTCAGGAGGACCTTTCCCTTGTATTTCTGGCTTTTACCTGAAACTCATTTTTTTTGACTTTGGACAGATTTTTTTATTATTATTCCTTTTAATCTAGCCTCTTTCTCTATTTTTTCTTTTTTTCTGTTAAAAGCATAACCATTTCTTCTGTCATGTGTATTTGAAAGCAAGGTGGGAGGGGGCGTTCCAGTTTTTGTGGGACAAAGCATCCTGTTTTAACTCTGTTCTTTTATAGTGTATTTCTAGTGCATAGTCCTGAGGATGTTTTATTTGCAGATCCCTTTAATTCTTCCCTTCCTTGTGTGTTGAGTAGGTGATCATCCCTGTTCTAAACTTTTATTACTCCAAGGATAGGGTCTGACTTGTTGCCTTTCTAAGATAATCTAAATGCCTTCTTCATAGCAAGAGGAAACAGTTACCTCCTTCAGCTGGTTGTTTGAACATAACTATGTGAGTGTTTGAAACCATAGGGTCCTTCAAATTCTACAATAACCAGAAATTGAGAACATTTTGTCTTTAACAACTGAACCAGTTCATTTATTGTGACTATGCTTATGTTTTGTTTTGATTTTTTTCTAACCGGCAGTTATCTCTTGAGATTATATAATATTTACAGTTTACTTAGCAGGGGCTTCCAGAAAATGTGAGGGTATGTCAACTTTTGATTTATGGATACAGTTTATACCTTAACATGAATACATAGTTATAAATGAGCTTGTGACATTGGGTCTTTTGAATGTGGGTTTTCTTTTAAAAGGCTACAGTTTTCAAAACCATGATATTACCACCAGCCCATTTGTATTTCTCACCAGACTAAAGGTAGCACGTCCTACTAAACAGAACGCAACAGGAAAAAAAATAAGGAACAAGTCCTTTTAAAGTTTGGAGTGGTGCCAACTACAAGTTTTTGTTATTTTTAATATAGACTTTGTTCATTTATTTAGTCAAGAAGCGTCTGTTGAGCTTTGCACATGTAGGGCCTGTGCTGGGTGCTGCGGGTAAATGGTGATTTTGTCCTAGGGCAGGGGTCATTGAACTATATAGCCTCCCTGTAGCCTGCTTTTGTATGGCCCACAAACTAAGAGGTTGTTAAAGTTTTAATGCGTTATGAAAACAAACAAAAAGCAAAATATGCAAGAGACCTATGTGTGGCTCACAAAGTTTAAAATATTTATTTGATTCTTTAGGAAAAAATTTGCCTACTCCGGACCCTGTGGTGTCTCTGTCTTCCTCAATCTTATGTTTGTTAGTAAGAAAGACCAGAAGTAAGCAAGGGAACAAATAAGAAAGATAGTTCTTTTCAGATTTTGATAATTGATAAGGAAATAGCATGTAAGAGTGACAGAAATGAGGCTGGTGTCAGGTGTAGCAGTTAAGGTGGGATTTTTTGAAAAGATGAATTTAAGATTAAACCTGAACAGTAAGGACAAACAGGTCTGTGCAGAGCTGGGCGTATTAACCCATCTCTCACTCCTTAGGTCCACATCCCCCTTCCCCTCCAAGTGCCTGCTTATTATACACAGAGCTCAGCTAAATGCTGGTTCCTGGAAGACTATCTCGAATGCCCTCTTTTGGGTTACCTTTACTACAGCACCCATCACAAGGCACTGTAATTGCCTATTTGGTTTCATTCTTCCCACCTCCCTCCACTAGACTTGAAATATCTTGGGGGCAGGGACATATGTCTTAGTGATCATATCTCGCTAGCGTTTAGCTCATAAACTAGGTTAAATGGAGTCTACTCTAAACTCAAAATTAGATTCCATCAAGCCCACTGTGAAAATCAAGAAGATCCTCTAACAAGTTGCAGATTCTTAAGTTCTATCACTTATCTTTTTTTGTACACATCCTTCCCCCCTCGTACTCTCTTCTCCAAGCACTATTCTTTCATTTCTAAAACCTAATTATTGCCCCACCCCCAAAACATGCCCATTTCCCTCGTGTTATTAAAAGGCACCGTCATCCATCCAGTTGAGCAAGCCGAAAACTAGGAATTAGCCTTGGTGTGTCACGTTTCCTCACCCTTACCCATCACATCCAGTCCTTCAGGACCCACACCTCCTCAACTAGTCCTGTCTCACTGTCTCTACTCTCAGCTCTAGCCCAGGCCAGCTCTAGCCTTTCCTTTGCCTGGGCCACTGCAGCAATCCACTGACTGGTCTTTCTGTTCCCTTGCTTACCTTCCATATATCCGTTGTTCACACAGAAGACAAACACATCTTTTCAAGCTCAAAAGAAGATCATATCTGTCCCTTTTCTTAGACACCCCAGTGGCTGCCCGTCGAACGTAAACATGTGAACTTAAGTAAACAAGTAAAAACAAGTAAATAAACAAGTAAAAATACAGCTCAAAGATTTGAGCTCACAGCCCTGAATGGAATAACCATTGTCTCTTCAACCACATCTTATTACTCTCAGTTTCCAGGTACATTGGTCCCTCCACTTGCCCTTCTTAGGACCCTTTATTCTCTGTTGCCTGTTAAATTATTAAATGTTAAATGGAACCCCGTGTTAATCTCCTTAACATCGCGAACACTTAAAACTATACAGTGACAAGTCAGTGAACCATAGTGAAACTCCATTCCCCAATGACACCTTCATTCCTGATTTTCCTGGTAACATTTGTAATATCAAAAATTCATGATAACAGGCAACTGATTTAATGATAACTCCAGTTAAAAGGCCTTGGGGAAGGAACTTGACAACCTTACTGCCTTCTAATGGTATTGTTTTTCCTTTTTTCTTTTTCGCAATGCAGAATATGAGTTGGAAGTAAAGAGGGTGCAAGACATTCTTTCGGGAATAGAGAAACCACAGGTATGTCTTCTGGATTTCTCAGCATAAATGACACTTTTTAAAGTATTTCAAATGTGCTTTTTTTTTTTTTCCACCACACAGTAGGTAAGGAAAAGGGCTCTTTCCCTTTGCAGATTACTCATCAACTATGAAATAGTGTTCGGTTCAGTTATTAATGGACCATGAGACATAGAACAGTAGCCTTCTGTGTGTAGTCGTAATCTACTGAAATGTCTTCTTTATTTAGGTATTCTGAATGCAATTAGATATTCTTTCCAAAGATTCTTTTTTTTCTCTCTCTTTTTTCAGTCTACAGTTTTCTTTTGGTAGTTTTTTTTTAACCATATAAATGTAGTAATAATTTTTGAAAACCTCAGTAATCCCAAGTATTTTTCCAAGTAAACTTCAAAAAGATATTTAAATATTAGCTGTGAAAAATAAGTCCAGAACATTGGGTGCAATGGCAAGACAAAAAAATGGTCGAAGTGGTGAGGTTTTGATTTTGCCAGGTGCTTTGAAATTCAAGTGAAAAACTCAGAATGTTGATTCAGCCTTTCATCTGAGATTAGAGAGCCAGAGTTCTTTGGAGTATTTTCTAGCTGAATTGGAAAACCTTGATTCTGCATGTGTTTCAAATACTGAGGCTTTTTAACAGAAGAGTCCAAACATGCCTCAGGGTACATAGTTGAATTTGACAACCTAAAAGCTTGAGGTGTGTTGAAGGACAGGCATAATAAGGCACTTGTAGAGGAGTGGGGTGTTGCCGTTGGGAGGGGTGCAGGGAGTCTGTACTTACTCTGGTGAGGAGCAGGCTGCCACTGGGGGTTTTTGAGCAAAGAAGTTATGTAATCAGGGCTGCATTTTCAGAATGATCAAACAGTTGGTGGATGAGTTGGAGTGAGAAGAAGATAGATGCAGGGAAGAGCAGTGTTAGAATCTGCTACTGTAGTCCTGGTGAAAGGCTATGGGAGTCAAAATTAGGGTGGTGACATCTGTGTGGCAGGCAGCAGGGGACAGATACAAGAGCCATTCCAGAGATAGAATACGGCACTATAACCTGTTAGAATAGATATCAAATGTCAAGGATAACTGGGCTTTCGGGTTTGGATGCCTCCTCTCAGGAATTGCTTCCTCTAAGATGCCTTCCTGATTGCTGTCCATGCCCATCAAGTGGGAGGCTCTACCCCCAGCTTTGCTGTGCCCTTCATGGACTTCTGCTACTGTATTTAATATATTGTACTGCATCTACTTGTTTCTGTGTCTTTCCCGGTCTGTGGTTTCTCTAGGACAGGTTCACAGCTTTGTCCTTTTTGTATCTTCAGTGCCATTCTTGGACATGCTGAGTTTGTTTCACTGTCAGGGACTCTGGAAAGATAGATACAGCGGGCGGTCGCAAATGTCTGGTAGGCCGATGCTGAGGAGCGAGGAGGAACAAGATACAAGACAGGGAGATCACATGCATAGCAATGATACTTCATGTTGTAGGATTGGATGATAGCTTTGCAGACGGGGGTGCAGTATAAGGGAGAGATCAGAAAAGGTGTGAGGGCAGAATTATGGAAAAAGCTTATGTTTGTAGCATAGTAGAAAGAAGAAAAATCTGTAAGGAAAACAGAGGAGTCAGAGAGAGAGGGCAGAGCAGCGGGTTCACTCATGGCCCCAAATGTAGTTTCAGAACTCCATAGTCGCTTCTTAATCATGTTTATGCACACAGTGCTGTTCCTCAGATATTCCTAGTCACTGCTCTGCTGAAGAAGTGACAGAATCTCTGTTTCTTGTGGGTGAGATGGCTCTAGCAAGACAAAAGCCATATTTAGATTCATTGGTCCTTTTTCTTGATGCAGTATTTCTTAGGCATTTAATCTTTTGAGGTTTTAGGGCAGGGTAATAGGCTTTTTGTAAGTAGCTGTGTTGTAAAATATAATAGGGTAAGAGCGTCATCTGAGAACTTTTGCCTGTATCATTTGGAAACAAGCATTGCTTGGCTACAGAAGCACACAGATGTTAGCTCTATCCATGACAGTCTGGCCAGGCCGTTCTGTACCCATCGCAGAGAATTGGCTTCTCAGAGCCTAGTGCCTTTAGGCCCCTGAATCATGTAGATAACTCCCCTTGTTTTCATTTGGTGCTCACTTAGTAGCCTTTTGAGAATTTGACTTCCTTGTTGCCAACAGAGAGAAAGTATGTGAGGCAGGTTGACAGTGCTATCTAATCTACCAGATACTTCTGTTTCTCATTATGAATCAATTAACTGGCAGTCTGATTGTATATATCTGATTCCATAAGTCTTATAGTTTGACATTCAAGTCTGACTCTGGAATACCGGCTAGATTGTCTGAGTCACTGGGCAGGGGCCTGGACCTGGCGAATTCACTCAGGTAAATGCCACAAGGTAACAGCCTGTCTGCAGGGCCAGCCAGCTTAACTGGACTCTATCCTGTCTCATTACCCTCCTCCAAACCTTTGAAGTGGACTTTGAATGAGAAATTCAGTCAAAAGATAACATTTCCATATCAGCGTGGCTTAGATGGGCACAGACGTAGTCAGTATAGCTGAAGAGTTTCCTTAGTCCTATAAAGCTGGAGTTGTTAATTCTGTAGCATAAGCAGCACATTATCTTTCTAGGTTTGGAAAAGGCACGTTGAGAAACTTTCTGGAGGTGAGTAGAAACAAAGCCTCAAGTAGTTACACACTCCAGAGTCATGAAAGATCTGTAGATCCGCATTTATATCTCATGCCCTTTTTAACAGTGAGGCTTGAACTTGCCAAAATACTACACCCTACCTTTTAAGCAGTTTGATGAAAATCACCTGATAGGAAGTGGGCGTCTCTGGACACAGTTGCTTTGCCAACATGTGGGTGGTGGTTGGTGCTAACCACCCTGCATGTCTGGTTCTCTGGATGGCAGTGTAAGTGTATCCAGGTTGCCTGGGCTGAAGGCATATCAGACAAGGGGAGTTTGTATGAAGAGTGCCATGCTTGTTCGTGCCTCCTGCTTTTGCACATGACTAAAACAACTTCTCTTTCTCTCCACCTATATGTTTCCTATTGCTGCTGTAATGATTTACCACAAATTGAATGGCGTAAAACAGTACAAATTTATTGTCATAAAGGTCTAGAGGCCAGAAAGTCCAAAATGTCTCTGGCTAGGCTGTAATCAAGGTGTTGGCAGGGCTATATTTCTTTCTAGAGGCTTTGGGACAAAATCTGTTTTCTTGCCTTTTCCAGTTTCTAAAGGCAGCCTGCATCCCTTGGCTTTGTCTGCAAAGTCAGCAGCCATATTCCCCCAGCTTCTGCTTCCATTCTCACATGCCTGTCTCTCACTGTCCTGCCTCCCTCTTTCACTTATAAGGACCCCCGTGATTTTACTGGGCCCAGCCAGATAATCCAGGTTAAGTCTCCCCTTCACGAGAGCCTTAACTTGGTCACACCTTCAAAGTCCCTTTTGCCATATAAGGTATTCATAGGTTCCAAGGACTAGGATGTGGACCTCTTTGGGGACCTACCACACTCCCCTTCTGATCCTCATAAATGTTATTGCCTGAGACAGTCCACTGTTTCTTTCCAGCCCAATTAGTTGTTTATGCAGTTTCTGTCTTTCCTCTTCGTACCACTTTTCTCTCTGAAGTTCTTGTTTGTGATTGTGTGTTATTTAACTTTTCGCTCCTAATACCTAGCACTGTCCTTGGGACATAGTGACCCCTTAATAGATCTTTGCTGAATAACTGTGTGGCTGTAGCTGGGTTCTGGCCGGGGGCACAAACGCCGGAAGTCTGACCAGCCTCAGGATGTGCCTCCGCCAGCGTGTAAGGCAGCAGCCACTAGAGGGAAGGCCTGTGCTTTGCAATCTGGCACTCTGGGTTGGGACTTGCATTGGCTGTTACCTGTCTTTGTGACCTTGGGTAAGTTACATCATTTCTTTGTGCCTCAGTTTCCTCATCTTTGAAAGGTAGGATAAGAAATACTACCTGGGACTATATGAGAAGTAAATTATATACTTGGAATGCAGTATTTATAGTTTGTAGCGTATCACTAAGCAAAAGTGAAACTTCTGTGCTCTTACATGGGAAGGAAGAGGTATCAGGCCATCTGACAGGGAAAGAAGCAGAGCCATGCAAAGTTGGGAGCACAGTTGTAAAAAGGATTATTTAATTTTGTGTTCCTTTCAGCCACAACTGGTAGCACCTCTAAATAAAAGGCATATATTTTGCTTTGAGGTTTTGCAGATGATTTTATTTAGGTGCAGAACTTGTGGATTCCAGTCATCTTTCTAGGACTTTGGGCACCCTGAATTGAGCAAGTCTTTTACTCTTCAGAGACCCAGCTACTGCAAAGGTCCAAATACTTAGTTTCATTTAAATTTTATTAAAATGGTATACAAGTATACTAGGTATTTATCTTGGGACTGGAACAGTTAGGTGCTATGGGGACTTCACTGGTATAGCCTCCACCATGACAGAGCAATAAGCCTGATATTATTCTGAGTGGCTTAGGAATTAGCCAGCCATCTCGAGCCTAATGTGGTCTGACCTTCTCTGGTGGTGGTGCTAGATGTAGTCTCCCATAGACTGGTGGGCTGTTTATTTTCAGGATATAAATAATGTAACCTGGAATTGTGGTTCTGCATTGTTTCCATCCGCGAATGTTTAGCTTGTTGGAACAATTGATTTGTCGGTTCCAGAAGCGAGTAAACTGACCTGCGAGGAACACTTCCCCTGTAAGAAGCAATCCCTTGAAAGATAAACAGTAGTGCATCTGGGAGCAGATAGGCGGCTCTTAGCACTTCAGGAATCATAAAAACAGATGACTGTGAAATTCTTAGATTTCAGTATCCTTTTTCTTTAACCTTTTCCTTTTTCATTTATTTTCCTTTGTGGTGGTGTTTCTCATGATGATCCTTTAGAAGTGAAGCCAGTATTTGTGTGGTAATATTTCCTTAGTGTACTCTTTAATTAGATCAGTAGGCCTCCCACATAGTTCAATCCAAAGGCCAGAGCAAATTTAGAAGCTACCAATGTACAAGGAAATATTTTTGAACATGAAAGAAACAATTTAGTAACTATGAGAATAAATGGTGTTTCTGATCCAAGTACTATCATTTGCATAATAATAAAATATCAGAAAAAAATGGAAAATTTTACAGAACAGTATTAAAATATTGGGATGAACAGGAGAGAAGGTGCAAGGAGAAAGCAAGCTATGGATTACGTATCAAATAGCTACAGGACAATGCGGTTTTATAATTTCCTTATACACACACATATAGAACAACTGCTTTCAAGTTGGAATCTACATTTAATAAATAGACGAGTGATTTCTAATCAGTATGTGACCATTTACAAGTAGGAAGTAATTTTATGAGTCCTTCAAGGTGCTCAAAAGCAGTTTAGTTTAAATAATTCATATGCAGACTTACACTAGTAACCTGTACAACAGACCCTTTTATAGCAGTTATTGAACTGCTTTTGAATTGGAATCTACATTTAATAAATAGACAGGAATGATTTATAATTAGTATGTGACCACTTAGTAGTAGGAAGTAATTTTGTGAGTCCTTCAAGGTGCTCAAAAGCAGTTTAGTTTAAATAATTCATATGCAAATGTATACTAGTAACCTATACAACAGACCCCTTTATATTACTATTGCAGAAACAAATGTCAGATTGCACCTCGTCCAATAATTTTATAACTACAAATTACCCCTTTTATCACCATTACAAAGGAGATTGACTTTCTAGTTACGGTAGGTTAATTAAATATCAGGAAGTCAGTTTTATGGCTTCTAAACTTTTTTGAGGGGTGAGGGGAACAAACAGCCATGGTGATCACTGTGATGATCAGATTAGCCGTGCCCTAGTTAAGCTTGTTGGTCACTGCTGGCAAGAAAGTTTCAGCACAGGCAGACTTGCAATGTGAAGGTCATATATGAGTGTTGTTGCTCTGAAATCGGCATGAACCTAGATAGAGTTCCTAGAGTTCCAAATCTCTCATTAAGGCATTACCTCCCAGGACACTTGGAGTAAATATGTCTAGTGCTGAGAATTCACCTTCAAGTGACATTCTCTTGAAAGACAGCATGTCAGTTTCTGGAATCAGCCTTAAGTGGAAACAAGTTCCAAGTCCTAATGGAGACTAAGTGATCTTTTTCTCCTCATTCCATTGCCTAAACAAGGGAAACCTCGGGCCAAGAGTCAGTGAAAGGGAGAGAGCAGGAGGACAAGAAGGATTTGGCCCCAGAACATCATCATGATCTGGGTGTCAGGCTGCTTAGCTCAAGGAAAGAATTCACAGAAACCGCTTTCCTTTGAGAATGATGCTGAGTTCTCAAACTGCATTTCTGATAGGCTGGCACATTGGAAGAATGTATTTCCACAAACACCTGCATTGCATGCTGATGACAGTGTACATCCTGAAGGCTTGCTTAGGGACTCTAGGGAAAAAGTGAATGTTATTTTAGTTGATGCTTCAAGTGTTGTATTTCTCTGTTCAGGTAAATAATAATTTAACCAAGTCCTAAGGGAAAAAAGTAAAGTTGTCATAGCTGACATAAAAGGTAGAGTTTAAAGGGATGTGACTTCATGGATATTTGTTTGGTATCTAGAACGTTGGCATTTGACTGAGCTATTTTGAGACATGGTTATTTCACACCACCATTCATGGAATCAGTGTTACTGTCTTCTGTGTTCTTGGGTGCAAAGCAGCCACTTATCACCTTGGCTGAGTGTTTTCCAGTACCTAATGAGCCTCCTTTTTTTCCAAGAAACCAAACTCTTTGTAACAAATTATCTCCCACGTTAAAAATAAAATATGATACCCAATACCTCAGGATTACTCATTAATGGTATGTGAAGGAATTGAGCAGATATACTGTTGTATGTTGGAAATGCTGTCTTAAAATCTAGGTAGAGAAACAACACACAAATAACCAAGTAATGCTCTGTGTAATGGAATATGCACCAAATGCAGGGATGGAAAATAGGCAAGAGTACAAAGAAGAGTGGTTGAATCTGACAGTGCAGACGGTACAGGAACCTGTCCAGAATCAGTCTCAGAACACTTAAGAGTCCCTCTGTGTTCAGTATATCTGCCATGAGGCCCCTCATGTGCCTGTCTCTCTTCAACAGGTTGGGGCTCCTCGAGGCCAAAGATCATACCTTAATCATCTTTGTATCCACAGCCCCTCACAGGGTGAGGTATGACCATTAAATGAGTAAACAAAGGCAGCATTTGAAGTGGGTCCAAGAGAAGTTGGTTAAAACCAAGGAAGTAGGAGAGTTAAAAGCTAAGTCCCAGGGGTGTGAGAGAGGGCATAAGAGAGGCCAGCATCCTGGAGGTTTGGTCACAGCATCGTGGTGCAGATGGGTTGGAGGGGTGGGGAAGAGGAGCTGCTAGTCTGGAGCTATAGCAGTCTTCCTCAGATGTTTTAAAGAGATGTGTAATGCAAGCCTACCATCTTCTGATAGTCTGTGTCAGAAACTCAGACTATCTTATTTCCCTAGATTTTTTATTCAACAAACATTTACTAAGCAACCACTGATCACAGTTGACTATGACTTGGATTCTGTCCTTAGGGAGTCTCAAAGCCCAAGGGAGGTAGACAAAGGCCATAATGTGATTAGCAATTATAGCAGTATCCACAAGGTTCTGTAGAACATGGAGGAGTGACAATGCATGAGATAATTTAGAGAAGGCTACTGGGAGGTAGTGAGGCCGGGCTGCGGTCTTTAAGGATGAGCAGGAGTTTGACTAAATAATTGGCTAAATATATCATGATATTCTATTTATATGGAATAAATAGTACGAAGTGATCTCCACTAAAAATGTAGTGAAGGACAGACTGAAGAGAGACTCTGCATTCATTTTCCATATTTATTATTTGTATTTCAAGTATTTAATAATTCCAATAATCTTTATGTAGATCCTATAGTGACAAAAATGGAAGAAGGAAAAAAAGGGACTGAACAGTTTACCTGTCTCCATCTACAGCCTAATAATCTACAGCTATAAAGTCTTTGTGAACATTAAGCTTTAGCGTCTGTATTGTCTTTTTTGTTTTTAATATGCTATCCAGACCAATATCCAGATAGCAATAGAATAGCCTTTAGACAGTTACAGCGTTAAAGTTTTGTCCTTAGATTTATTTTAAATAATTAGATCATATTTTAGGTTGGGTTTCTCCAGAAATGGTCTCTAAAACCAAGTATTGAGTGCAAATAGTTTATGTGGGGATGTGATCCAGGAAGCCCTGGTTAGAGACAAGGGAACTGAGACAGAGAAGGGAAGTGTATTAGTCTGTTCTCGCATTGCTATGAAGAGCTACCTGAGATTGGGTAATTTATGAAGAAAAGAGGTTTAATTGACTCATGCTTCTGCAGGCTGTACAAGCATGGCTGGGAAGGCCTCAGGAGACTTACAATCATGGTGGAAGAAAAGGGGAAGCAGACATGTCTTACGTTGCCCGAGAAGGAGGAAGATAGAGAGAAGGGGGAAGTGCCACACACTTTTAAACAACCAGATCTTGTGAGAACTCACATCAGGAGAACAGCAAGGGGGAAGTCCACCACAATGATCCAGTCACCTCCCACCAGGCCCTCCTCCAAGATTGGGGATTGCAATCTGACATGAGATTTGGGTGGGGACACAAATCCAAACCGTATCAGGAAGGAAGCCCATGCGGGGGTCTATCAATAAACAGGTTACAGCTGTGGCCAGTCAGAGCTTAGTCCTTATAAACACCTCTGGAAGATGGAGTAGATTTTGTAAAACATGCCTCAGAGTAGTATTTTAAGAAGGTTCTGGGTATTTTAAGTCCCAGAGTCTTCGGTTCAAATGAAATCTGAAGCAGAGGCTAAACCAAAAGTATGAAAGCAGAGCTTAGAGAGGTGAAACATCTCCACATCTATAATGATATTAATCCCATATCAGCCTGGTCCTTGGTTCCAGTTTTCCACCCATTGGGTTCTCCTGGGAATCTGCAGGACTTCAGCGGGTATTGTTGGAAAGGTATTAGCTTTGAAGAATGATTTGACACCATGCAAGGCTTGAAACCAGATCAAAGTACCTGTGGGTATGGCTTCTTCCACATAATGTAGAAATCATACATTCAGCTTTTTACTTACGTTAAAAAAAAATTCCCTCGCATGACATTATTTTACTTTATGGAGGACAGAATGCAAATTGCACTGGATTTGGATGAAAGTTGGCATTATAAGGACAGATGTTGCAAGAACCATATTTTGGATACCAGGACTTTGAAAGAGAGCACCATATAAGATGTCTTTCATTGTAATTAAACTAGTTTACCTTGGATTAACTGTGAGCCAGTTTTATGCCACTACTAATAATTCTGAAAATGTAAAATGGATTTGAATACTTTTGTCCCATGTTTTTCTTCCTCAGGTTTCTAATATTCAGGCAAGAGCAGTTGTGTTGTCCTGGGCTCCCCCTGTTGGACTTTCCTGTGGACCCCACAGTGGTCTTTCCTTCCCCTACAGTTACGAGGTGGCCTTATCAGACAAAGGACGAGATGGAAAATACAAGATAATTTACAGGTTGTGTATGTTTCTATTGTTTTTCTTTGCTGCTAAACTGTAAAATTGGAGTTGTGAAGGAAAATGGAAAACAAAGGAAAACCTTATAGGCTTGGCAAATTTTCCTTTAGTTTATTTTAAGATTTAGTAATAATTATAATGCTAAGAATTCATTGTGTCCAGAGTAATTCTTATTTGGAAATGAGTAGCATAGAGCTATTTGGTATGGGTGTAATACATCACTTGGTTATATTTGCTGTCAGTAGAGTATTAATGAAAACTTTCTGTTAATGTCTGTCGGCAAAAGGCGATTATGACTTTTAGTTTTTGCATACATTGGGCGATTATAAGGTGACCGCTTATGTTTTAGATCCAGACCTTTTTGTAGCCCTGTTTTTTAAAGTTCTACAATATGTTTCCTTCTGTTTTACCCTATTTCTTACCTTGCACAATAGTTTCCAGCCTGTAATAAAGATACTTTAAAACATTTCATTTGGAGGCCTTAAGTGGTCAAAAGTTTGGCTCACAGGGAAGGGATTAGCCCCTTCTGCTCTGTGGACTCCCAGGTATTGACCATTCAAAAGATTTATAACTGTGTTCTAAATGTGAGAAAAATTTTAGGGCCACGTCTTTCTTCTTTGTAATTACTGGGTACTGCTCAGATTTGCAGAGCAGGAAATCAGAAAGTTAGTTTTGTTTTAACTGCTTGTTTGGCCTCCCTGTGAGTGGACCCTCCAGTGACTGCCCGTGCCCAGGGTAATAATGTGGTCACACAATCCTCACTTTTTCTGCCAGAGATGTTTCTTTTCTCCCCTATTTTCCTGCTGCATCAGTGCCACAGATGCGTATCTCCCCTTTCCTGTTCCTAATTCTTGCTCCACAGACAGTCTTCCTGACAAGGAAAGAGGGACAGAGGTTAAGGACTCAAGCCCTGTGGCTGCTGTGTCCTCCTCTTGCTACCCAGGCTACCTCCACTGTCTCTTCCCTGGACGCCCTCAGGAGTCTCCTGCAGGTCTTCCACCCCCGACTCTTGCTCTTCTACAAGCTTGCCTACTCACTGCAGAAACAAACTCAGGCCAGATCACTGCCCTTCTGATAACACTCCAGGGATTCCCCACTGTATTTAGGATATTCCTAACTCTGGCTCATCACCGTTTTATTCTAGTCTGAAAAATCAGAATTAGTAGCAACTTTAAAGAAATACAGAGTGCCATGTCCCCCATGCCTGGCAAGGAACAGATGCAATTGACCCTTGAACAACACAGGTCTGAACTGCACGGACCCACTTATGCACGGATTCCTTGTCAGCCACATGCAGACCAGAACAATATTCACGGGATATGAGACCTGTGGATATGCAGGGCCAACTGGGGACTTGAGTATGTGTATACGCTCTGTGGGGGTGGGGTCCTGGTACTGATTCCTTGTGTATACTGCGGGACAACTGTGGATAGAGTCTTTTCATGCAAGATGAACATTGGTGGCAGGAGCTAGAGGCTCACGTGCCCAGAGAGGCTCAGCAGGTAACATACATGAGCAAAGTGGAAAGGCTGAAAATGAGGTGAACAGGAGAGCTCCTGTTGCCATCGAAAGGAAGCAGTCACCACTCAGCCTAAGTTGATTGTTGCTAAAATTTGCTGATTCTTTGAATTTTTTTTCAAAAGATGCTGAAAATCTGAATTATTATACAAACTTCCCTGTTATTAAATTAATGGAACAAATGCAAGATATTTTAAAGATACAATGTAGGCCAGACAACAGAGCTTCAGGCAAGGTCTGGACACAGCTTCCAGTTTTCAACTTAAAACCCAGCCTTTTATTTGGAATAGTTTCAAACTTATAAGATGTCCCCAAAATAGAGAAATCAAGGAATACCTATATACTCCATATCCAGATTCACTTGTTATTAACTTTATACTCTGCTTTATCATTTGAACTCCTTCCTCTTTTCCTCTTTCTGTCCTCAATCCACATTTTTTTCCATAAGTGTTTTTTTTTTGAGACAGAGTCTTGCTCTGTCGCCCAGGCTGGAGTGCAGTGGCACTATCTTGGCTCACTGCAAGCTCCGCCTCCTGGGTTCACGCCATTCTCCTGCCTCAGCCTCCTGAGTAGGTAGGATTACAGGTGCCCGCCACCACGCCCGGCTAATTTTTTGTATTTTTAGTAGAGACGGGGTTTCACCGTGTTAGCCAGGATGGTCTCGATCTCCTGACCTCGTGATCCGCCCTCCTTGGCCTCCCAAAGTGCTCGGATAACAGGCGTGAGCCACCGCGCCCGGCCTTTTTTTTCATAAGTTTTATATGTAATGGTCCCTTACTACAAAATACTTCAGGATATTTCCTATAAGAATTTTTTTAAAGAACCACAGTGTAATTATAACTTCATAAACTTACATTGATATGATACTTTTATCTGTTGTCTATATTCCAGCTTTTGTCGCTTGGTCTATAAATAATGCCTGTTATATTTTGAAAAATTGGGCAGTTTTCACCCCTTCCCGCGCAGGAGCTAGTCTAGGGTCATACAGTACCTTTAGTTGTCATGTCTCTTTAGCCTTCTTTAATTTGGAACAATTCCACAATATTTCTTATACTTTTATGACACTGATATTTTTGAAGAACACAAAGTAAGTCACATGCACACACACCTTTAACCTTTTTAAAAATTTTCAATAGAACATTCCTTATTTTGGTTGGTTACTTCCTCATGATTTAAGGTGAGGTTCAGTTGCAACTTTTGAGGACATAAATGGTTTTATTTTATTGAAGAGAGCTATTTGTTCGGTGCATTGGTAAGTGAGGAAGTGAGATTGTGATTTTTCTTAAGACAGTCCAGAGTTGAGATAATTGAGGTTCCTGCCAAGGTAAGTGTGGAAAGTGCCTTCTGTTAACAGCTGGTATGATCATTTTTATTCATTTGTTTGTTCATTCATTCATTTGCTTACTTAGTTACTTATATGTATTTACTCGTAAGAAGTGATAAGATCTTTTAGAATTTTATTAGTAAGTTAACCATGCCATTTTCGAGATCTAAGATGGCATCATTAAAAAGAACCTGATTTTCTAGTCCCAAACAAATAATAATATCAAATAAGAAAGTTTATTTCTGGTTTATGGTGGAATCTGACATAATAGTTCATGAATTATTGTCAGTACATTACTGGACACCCAAATTCCAAATCTCGTTTGCTTTTGAAACTGGAATTAGCAACTAATGAATGCTTTTTCTTTACAGTGGAGAAGAATTAGAATGTAACCTGAAAGATCTTAGACCAGCAACAGATTATCATGTGAGGTGAGTTAGGATATAAGAGCCAAACTGTATTGGAGAATCCAGGTGGCTAAAGCAAAAACATGTACTCCCTTTTAAGTTTTTGGTGAATGTTGCTTACCTTGCTGAAAGTTGTAGAACCATGGCTTATGGGCCATTCATTGACTCTCAAGAGCATCGTAACTGGGAAGACACAGAAGCGCTTCTGTGAACAGAAAAGTAGGTGTTAAACACTGAAAATCATTTTAAACATTTTAAAAGTAATTTTACATGGTCTTCTAAGATCTATTGGACTATGGTTTAACAGTTTCTTTCTGTAAAACAAATGAAACTTTTGTCACCATGGGCATATCATTGTTTCTTATAGACCATCATATAAACTGTTTATTCAGACCAAATGACTGAAGAAGCCCTTTCCATGTTGCAAGCACACCGTTAGACCTTAAAAGCTGGTAGATTTTGAAAAAGACAAGTAATACAAGCATCAAATTATCTCTGATGAGAATTAACTCAATTTGGCTAAACAGTTAACCCATGTGGCATAGTATGTAGCCTGAAATCTCTCCTGTGATTTTCTGGAATCTCTACTGTGACTACTCTGGAAGGTAGGGCTAGCTTATTTTAGGAAGAAACCCAGCCAACCACAGATCTGTAAGGAGGAAAGTGTTATCTGAATTTTTTAGAGAGACCATCTGATTATTTAAAGATACATCCATCTATTTATTTGCCAATAAGAAGGTCTGAATATGACCCATAACACTAAAAAAACTTTTTTTTAATCTTTATTTTATCTAATATTTAAGTTCCCCAGAAAATATAGTTTTATTTAACTGGATGTACAACAACACATTGTTTCCCTTTTTTTTTTCAATTATATATGCATACATAAAGATTGCAGAATAAAATTGTAAGCATGAAATATACATCTATTACTATACTTTCCAAAGGTTAATTTACATCATGAGTTTCTTTGTGATTTCGGGATGAGGTTGGAGGCAAGGTAGCCTAGTAGGAAGAGCGTATATGAATTACCAGGAGGCTTGAGTGTGAGTCTGGTTCTGCCCTGAACGGGCTGTTTTAACTTTGGTCAATTCACATAGAACGCTCTGCCATGATTTTCTCAGTTAAAAAAAAGGTAGTAAAGCAAGGATGTGCGTTGAGGATGTAATATCTTATTAGCTGCATAAGTTCTTAAAAATAAGTTTAAAGTAATGTATATCAGAGTAAGTTGTTTTGTTTTAAGGCATAAAGTGCACATCTGCTCAGCTATCATATTGTTTAGATGAGCTCTCTTGCAACCATCTCCTCCTGTTTAAATCAAAACTTTGGATTTTGAGTCAATTAGCTTCCGCCCAAACGTATTGAGCTTTTCACACACTCTGTACAAGAAGATCTGTGTAATTTGTGAAGCTAAGATGATAATAGAAATGGTTTAACCATTATTCAAAATGGTCAATTTAACAACAAACCAGAAAATGTAAAACCAGAAAATGTAAAAGTCATGTAAATGTTATCTATTATTCATTGTTAACATATGTTTCTTTCTGCTCCGTGCTTTAACAGTTTATTGTTCCTGTGGTTAGTAAAGGTTTACTTTATTAATTTCCTGCTCATTCATGAGCTTACAATATCCTTTTTAAGAAACTTAAATGTTATGAAGAGTCTTCTCTTTATTTACCATCCTGTCTGTTGTTCCATTTATTTTTTTTTTAAACCCTTATTACAAAGGGTAAATTTGAGAACACTTGCTCATCAGCTATTTTTACCGACAAAACCTATGAACATCTTGAACTTCTGGGCAGATAGAATAGTTAATGGATTCCCCAAAAGGAACAGGATGGGAGCATGACGTGGTTACCATCTAGGGGCCTTGGGTCTAGACTTTCTCCTGACACATTTGGGACTCCTTGCATTTGGTATTTGACACACATGTGACACCAAACACGTACAACCTAGGGTGCCACCAACTGTTATTTGTTCTACCTCTCTGCTTTCCAGGAAGATAGGAAGTTCTCTCTCCTTGGGGATGGTCAATTTTAGTATTTTTTTAACATCCTTTCTCTCCTAATAAAAACGTCTATAGTCCAGATTTAGTCTTTGTGCACTGCCTAATGCACAGTCCATATAGATCATACGTTCTTTTTCCTTTTACAGTCTTGTCTTTTTTAGGCTAGAGAAGAATCTTAACACTTGCAACTCTTATTTAGATGTAGCTTCCTCTGCCTTGAATTGCTTCGGTGAAGCAGCATGATGCATAGTGGACATGGCTTGCAACTTGAAGTTAATGGCTCTGTCATTTACTAAGGGTGTGTACTTAAGCGAGCCATTGAAACTTCTTTGGTCTCGCTTTGTCATGTATAAAATGAGAATGATAATGATACCAGCCTCAGGAAAATAGGATGAGAGCAAATATATGTGCAAATCTATTTTAGACCTGTAAAGTCATGTATAAGTGCTACCTTTTGGTTTTCCCAAGCTCGTTGCAGTTTTTCCAAGCTGTGAAAATAAAAAGGACTTAATGATGCAAGTTCTTTGAATCTGTATATAGTTTGATCATATCACTCACATTTTTATTGAGATGAAGATGTATTTTACTTGACACTGAAAACAAGGAGCAAAATCTCTTTTTACAGTCCAGTTAATAATCTTAGTTCTGGGAATGTAAGCTTTTATCATGTAGAGTGGCCGCAAATATTTTAAATGTAGCAGTCACCTATAAGGCCTCAAAAGGCCGTGTGGAAATAGTTTCTTCACTAAATTTTCATAACAGCAACTACAGAAGAATTTCATTACTGGACAGCTGCAAAATAAACAATTACGCTGAGTGCAGTGGCTCACACCTGTAATCTCAGCATTTTGAGAGGTCGAGAGAATGACTTGAGCCCAGGAGTTCAAGACTAGCCCAGGCAACATAATGAGACCTTGTCTCTACAAAAAATGAAAAATTAGCTGGGTATGGTGATGTATGCCCGTGGTCCCAGCTACTGAGGAGACTGAGGTGAGAGGATCGCTTGAGCAGAGGGGTTGAGGCTGTAGTGAGCCCTGATTGCAGCTGCTGCACTCCAGCCTGGGCAACAGCAGGAGACCTTGTCTCTAAATAAATAAATAAATAAGTGAATAAATTCCTTGCCATTTTTGTTTGTGCATTACCAATTTAGAAAGTGATGGAAGTCTGTAGAGCCAGTTATGAAAACTGAGATATTTCTTTTAGCAGCACAAAACAAGGTACATTTTTTCTTCCAACTCTTAATATTGCAACATTTTGATTAAAAGTGTAAGATTTCTGTCTTAAATCATGTACTGAAGTCTCACCTAGACTTCTGTTCTTGTATTCCTTGTTACTTTTCATTTTGCTACTCTGAGTCTATCTTATTCACATTGATTGCTTGATATCTTCATATAATGCTTTTTCTCATTTTCAACTCCCCCGGCCCATGCCCGCCCCCATATTAGTATTATTGCATGAGTTCACCCATCAGACACACAAACCTTCTTCTTTTTCAATAGCAGTCTCAGTCATGAAGCCCTGTCATTTAACTGCCTGGTAGTTGCCTTCAGTTACTAGGCCAGAACAGCTCTTTCCACCAACTCACTGTTACTGGGAATATATTGAGACTAGTGGCATCCTTTAGACAGTGCTGTAGCTCACATGCCTGTGGCTGCTCCAGTTGGCATCTGACATGCCATTTGAGCCAGATTCCACATGGAAAATTATATTCCAAGACATTTCAGGTTTACAAAATGTTTCTTCTTTTCCACTTTTACTATGAGGTTTTGTGTATCATTCTTACACGTCTGTTCAGTCACTATTCTTTTTTTCTCCTAATCTCCTAGTGGTGATTGAGGAAGATAATACCCCTCTATGATGCATACATTGATTAGCAAAATTTAGGAAGACCTTTATTAAAATCACTTTCATATTTGTTACCCTATTCTTAACACAAATAAATTTTTTTGGTTTAATGTTCATACAATATTTCAAAGGAATCCATTTGTAATTGTCAAGATTATTCAGTGCTTCTGTAAAGGGCATTGTGTTATGTATTGTATAAAGCCACTAATAAAAAATCTCCTGTCTCTGTGTGTGTATGTGTGAGAGAGAGAGAGAGAGAGTGTGTGTGTGTGCATGTGTGTGAGAGTGTGTGTTTGTGTGTGCCTGAGAGAGAGAGACAGAGACAGAGAGACAAGAGATTGTGTGGAGAAATGAGAAAAATCCAATATGTAAATAAATTGCATTATATTTTAAATACTTATATATATATAAATATGTAATTTTACAAACATGAACATTTATACATATATACATTTATTTGTACAAATAAATATGTATACATACACAAATGTATGCTGTGTATGCATCTGCCAGAGAAGTATATTTGTCTTTTAATTGGTAGTTCTATAATTAATAATGGCATTACAATGACCATTTTACTGCGGGAGTCAACAATTTATATCTTTATCAGCGATAGGATAATCAGTAATTTGAGTGATGGAATGGATAGCAATTTCATGAAAATTTTGAAGCAGTTTTCTAGTCATCCGCCTAAACAATTTGGCAAACAAGTTGCCCAGAGATGATATCATATAATGACATTTCCCAGAAAAATTGTGCAATGAAACATTTCCAAAAATATGGTTGACAAGCACAGTGAAGGATTATAAAATACATGTTATTGACCAAAAACTGTGGCTCCTAGTATGTTACATCGTGCTAGAAAAAGTTGGAGGCATACTTCTGAAATTCTTGGAGCACCTGTTTCCTAAGCATTTAGCCAGGATTTAAGCTGAAACAAATGTGAAAACAAGATTAATTATATTGTTAGAAAAATGTTTTCTTTTCTTGGGATAAATGCAACAAAAACTGAACTGTTTGCTGACTTATTTAACCCAAGAAACTGACCGTACTCTACAGATACTCCTTTTACATGATGATATTTATGGAAAACTCATTGCCATTATGTGGAAAAAAAAAAAATTGCAGTATTCTTTTAAAATGTAGCATCATTAGCAGAGATTTTTCTTTTCTATAAAAGTTATTGGTAAAAATGTTGCTAGTCACTATAACAGTAAGTTGCTGTCCATTTACTGAACTACTATAATTGACAGATGTAATCAAGGGATACTTAAGTGTGGTGCCAATTTTTGTACTATATGCAGCATACTTACATTGCCATGCAAAATGGCTGACAAAATATTATGTGTGAAAAGCATTGACCCTTAGCATAACATTGTTTAAGATTAAAGGCAAGAAAAATAGCCAACTCCATCTGGCCCATACAACTGTCTGTTTTCAACAACCTCAAATTTCTAACCTGCATCAGGTTCTTTTACTTTTATCCTCACTGCCATCCTCCCAGCCTGGCCACCAGGAGTCTCCATCACTTACGACTCTCCAGCCTAGGAAGTATGGATTGCTGCCTCCAAGAATCCCACTAAAAATGAACAAAGAATTTACTGAGACCAAATTTACCTTTCCCCAGACAACTGACTGCATCCTGCTAGTACTTTGCAGGCTGTTTCCCTGCCTTCCTCCCTCTGCTCTATTATCCAGATGGATTTTTGGCGGTGGCTGTTTTTGGGAACATATAGGACCTGATCTGCCTGGGTATACTTCTGCATTTGTAGGCAAATGCCCAGTCATTGCAAACTGACATACTTACTGGGTGGAGGCAGAGAACCTAAACAGCTAAACTGGGTTGGGTAAGGGTCAGCTGAAAAGCAGTCTCAGTGCTGTGGAGACAGTAGGAATGATGGGGACTCTAGCGAACTCTGCAGCACCTGCTCCATCTAAAGCGGGGAGCTGCCCACAGATTTAGCTCATTACTACAGGGCAGGAAAGAGGGCCGAGTGAGGCCAGGTGCAGTGGCTCACGCCTGTAATCCCAGCACTTTGGGAGGCCAAGGTGGGTGGATCACCTGAGGTCAGGTGTTCAAGACCAGCCTGGCCAACGTGGTGAAACCCCCATCTCTACAAAAATACAAAAATCAGTCAGGCATGATGGCAAGTGCCTGTAATCCCAGCCACTCAGGGGGCCGAGGCAGGAGACTCACTTGAACCTGGGAGGCAGAGGTTGCAGTAAGCTGAGATCATGCCATTGCACCCCAGCCTAGGCGACAGAGCGAGACTTCATCTGAAAAAAAAAAAAAAAAAGCCAAGTGTTGCTAAAACCTTGAGTTTTTAAGAGAAGCCAGAAGTTTGGTTTTTAAAATGAGAGCGCTCCAGATATTTTTCAGTGAAGGCTTAATTTTTACTTTTTTATTTCAGAAAATGTTAGATATAGTCAGAAGTAGATAGTAGTTTAGATAGTAGTAGTTTAATGAACTCTCATCACTCAACTTCTGTTACCTCATTGTCCTCACTTACCTCTCCCCTGCCCTGATGATTTTGAAGTAAGGTTCAGACATCATATTATTTCACCTATAAACTATATTACCATCATCACACACACCTGAAATGTCTTCACAATCCCGGGACTGTTCCCATTTCCTCAGTTCTAAGAATGAAGATTTTGTTTCTTTAGTTTGTTGTAATTGGAATTCAAATGTGTGAATATGTGGTTTGGTTGATATGTCTTAAATATATTTTAATCCATTCATTTTTCCCTTTATCTTTTTCTCTTTCTTGCAACTTGTTTGTTAGATTAATTTGTTTGTCCTGTAGAGTCTTCCACAAGTATGAGTTTGGCTGACTGCATCCGTGTTGTGTTGCTTAATATTGTTCTCCTGTCCTCTATATTTCCCATAAAGCAATGAAGAGGTTTAATCAGATACAGGTTCAGTTTTTCTGCCAAGACAGTTTTGTAGGTAGTGACATAGTCCTTTATTAGGAATGCATGGTGTCTGGTTGTCTCTTTTTGTGATGGTCATTGCCTGTATCTTTTAATTCATAGGTGGCTCTAATACTTCAAAACATTATGTTTTTGCACACTGCCACCACACATACACATGTGTCTTGGGTCAGATGCAACCCATGAGTCACCTGTTGGAGAATTCTGTGTATCAAAGTTCAGGCTTGAGCCCTGCCCATGTCTGGAACATGTTGTGATTCATTTAAAGTAACTTACTCCCAGTGAGCCCATCCTGACACAGGGAAATGATCTTACCAGATCTACCATTTAGTTTTATATTATCACGTGCCTACTTACAGTGCGTGCAAAAAGGACCTTTTCCTTCATCAGGGGTTGGGTGGAGAGCATCCCAATGATAAGCATTATTTGTTTGGATCAAATTTCATGCTGTCCTCCCATAAGGCAAATAGATCAAATATGTAATATGTATGTATTTTTATCTTTTGAGGTACAAAGTAGACATATCTATTAGTGCCTTTGACGTATGGCCTCTATGAATTTTTCATGATGGACTTTGTGGAGAAATGACTTTGCAAATCACACACACACTTGGGACCTATCTTCCATAATGTTGTTATCTTTACCTGTTGTTTGTGTTCATTGGGTAGGGCTAAGGGAAGTGGATTGTGGTGTTTAGAGGAACATGATTGCAGGATGAACAAGGGGAATAGGCAATACCGTATATACTGGTTAGACTTCCAGGGATAAATACCATTGATCCAAATTTCTAACTGTGTGGCCTTGGGAAATGTACTTCATCTCTGTGTTTCCTTCTGTCTGCAATGGGTAATAAGATTTCCCTACCTCAGAGAGGGTGGCTATAAGAATTAAGGGCTCAATATCTATTTGCCAACTCTGTGAATAGTTTAATCCTTGCATCTGTTTTAGGCAGCAAAGTGTTCTTTGTTGTTGTTGTTTTTTAAGAGTACATTTTCAATTTTGAAAAAATAAATTCCCAGTATAAAAAATGGAATAGTAGGAAGATGATAAAAATCAGCATAGCCCTATTTTATGCTATTTGAAGAGTGTGGCATTAATAGTATGTTCTATGCTTTTTCTTCATGGCTTCTCTGGAGAAATCAAGCACATATGTTGCAGTGTTGAGCCAAACATTTTAGTGTACAGACCGAACATCTTTAATCTTGGCTTCATGTATAAGAGTTAAATATTCACGTGGATTAAACTGTACCTGAACATTGTTTTTGTGGAATTAGAGAAAGTCACACTTGTTAGCTTCTCTGTGAAACATCCCTAGTTTTACATAAATGTGTACAGTATTAAATGTAGTTCAAAGATGGTATCTACCCTGTTTGTACTTTTATGCTTTCTCTCCAGTCTGTGACCTCTTATTACTGTTTCTTTTGCCTTTTTATCCAGCTCTTAACTCTTAGCCTTTTTCCAGATAAAGTCAACCAGAGAGTAGCTCATGGGGTTTTAGAACATATATTTGGAGATCGTTCTGGGGTTAAGGTTTATTTTCTTACTTAGAATAATCTCTTCTAGTCAGTAGATCCTGCCTATCTTGAAATGGAGCTGGGTGGCACACACTGAGACAAATACCTGTTGGGATGACTGTCCCCTGTTAATGCTAACCATAGGTCAGGACAAGACCAACAGATAAGAGCAAGAGCATGATACTCACTCCGTAAGAAATTCTGTTCATCTACAGAAAGCCTTAGGGTGAAACAAAGATAAGAATCCTGGTCTTCTATGATGAGTCACTGCCACTGACTGTGTCTGTTTTGTTTTCAGGGTGTATGCCATGTACAATTCCGTAAAGGGATCCTGCTCCGAGCCTGTTAGCTTCACCACCCACAGCTGTGCACCCGAGTGTCCTTTCCCCCCTAAGCTGGCACATAGGAGCAAAAGTTCACTAACCCTGCAGTGGAAGGTGGGTAGCTCAAAGCATCAAGAATCGTCTCAATTTAAAAATTAGCCAGGTGTGGTGGCAACGTGTTCCTAGTCCCAGCTACCTGGGAGGCTGAGGAGGGGGGATCACTTGAACCCAGGAGTTTCAAGGCTGCAGTGAGCCATGATCACGCCACTGCACTCCACCCTGGGCAACAGAGAAAGAGTCTCGAGTTAATATAAGGTCAGTCTATAGCCATTTGAAATATTTTTTAGCACGACTCCAGTCTTGTGATATGTTTGGTTTTCTGCATAGTAAGTATGTGCAACCAACTGTTATATCAAAAGTTGTCATTTCTGTAAGAGTTGGGCAAAGGGGTGGGAGGAGGGAACTGCAAAATCTAGCTTTAGCTTTTTTTTGCAGCAGTATTTTCTAAATGTCTTCAGGTCATAAGCAACACGTATAAGTGATATAGGTACTTAAAATACCTACATCTTATCACTTTCTAATAGTCTAGCTCATTTCAACAAACATTTGAGGACTTTAGCAAAAAGTTTTTATCAAGAAAGATTCAGAGATAAAGTAGTTTTATGGCCCTTTTGGCACATTTCAGTGGTGATACTGAAATGTTTAATACATAAAACAACCTAGAACATTTAGTGATCTAAACTATGTTAGTACTTCATTAAGTTTCACTACTTAGGCCATACACCAGTCAGGATTACTAATTATTTAAGAAAAAAAGACTGAATTATATATTTTCATGAAACACAATTCACTGGCTAAAATTAGCTGTTACCAAAGAGAGATCATATTGCCCCTTCCTCAAGAGGCATCACTAGCTTGTTAATCATAGTTGTGTGTTTGTGAGAAAACAGTAGATTGTTATCAATCTCTATAGCAGTTATTTCTCTACATCAATATTTTAAAATATAATTTAAAATGTAAAATAGATGGAGGTAGAGATAAAGATTTAGGGTTTGGGGGGAGAATAGTAATGTGTGAAAGAAAGAAAATGGCTAGGAAGATCCATTATTAGTGAAGAAATATTTTATCTTTTCATTTCTGGCCCAGAGAGTCAGGTTGGTCTAGGGAGCTGATGAAAGCAATTGAGAGTAGTGGTTAGCAGCAAAGCATGGGCCTCAGTTGATCCCTCTTAGGTGGGCAGCTGCATTCTCATAGCCAGTGGCCAGCATTGAGTGTGTTACTTGGACAGAAGCAAAGTTTAAACTGGCTTAGAATCTGAACTATTTTATTTTCCTTCCTGGCTTCCAGGGATAATCCAGGTCAGTGATTCCCCACCTTTTCAGAGTTTTAACACCCAACTGGCATCATTGTTTAATTCCTTAGAGTATACACATCCATTTAAAAAATGTGCTCTATATTTACACATACATATGTAAATATATCTTTGTAAGGAAAGAATTAAAATCCATTTTGTTTGGAAAATATAAGAACTCATCTTTAGATGACCTGAGGGATCCCGGGGTCTTATAAACCTAAAGTTGGGAATCACTGATGCATACTCTGCTTAAAACCTGGATGAATTTCAGGTCTCAGGCAGACCAGCAACTTCAAGAAAGAATTTTCTTATTAGGAGGAAAACGTTTCACATTTTCTTTCTCCCTTTCCTCAATTGTAAATCAGAAACATACTCTTGTTCCATTCAGTCATGTACAAACTTGAAAGTTCTGGATTTAGTTCAGTTTTCATTTAAATGTCCTTAGAACAGATTCCCTGATCAAAGTGCTCCAGGTGGGGGCACAAGGACAGGGGAACATTCTCTGGCTGCCAGTCTGTCCTTGAATCCACAAAGACGCTGAAAGCACTAAAGATCTGACATCTTTTTGTTCGTCAGCAACAGTTATTACTTACACAGGAGATAAGGCAAAACAAAAACCTAAGTCAGTGTACCCACCCTCAAGGAATTAAGGGACTAGTAGTGGGGTAGGATATCATCAAAGAAACTACCAAAGAACAGTTTTTTTTTGAGTTCTCATCTTAGAGATGGGTTCTCATCTTAGAGAACTTTGATTTTGTCAGTTGTTTATAACTTTAAGTGCATCACTATCCTCTCCTCCAGATTGAGCCTGCAAGAGCCTAAAATAACAGTTTAGGACTTAGAGCACTCACCTGAGATCCGAGTTTTGGGACTCAGAGATTGTGTGACTCTAAAGAGAGAAGGAAGGGAAGGAGAGGGAGAAGAATTTCATTATTAATTTAACTACCATTTACTGGGCCCCTGAGGTTTTATTACTAACCATAATAGAGCAATAACAACTGTTTACTGAGTGCTTCCTATAAAACTGGGTAGTTTAGTAGGTGATTTACATATTCTCCCAATTATTTATCATACCTATCTATTCTTGGAACATGAAATTAGTTGTTGATATTGATATTAAACAGCTAGCACCAGACCACATGCGACAAACAGCCAAGGTAGGATTCAGATACATCTCAGGGGAAGCTGAGCTGCCTTTTGCCAGGGGTAAGGCACTGTGCTGTTTGTTAGGCTCTTGCTCTTTCCTAGGGAAGAGTCGGCCCTGGCATGTTTTTGAAGTGGGAGACACGATCCGACTCCTCTTCCTGGTTGCTTCCCCCAACTTGTAGTTCCACTGTCTCTCTAGATCTGTCTACCCTAATGCTCCAAGAGACCCCACTGCGGCATCACCTGTAGCTCTTGGAATCCTGAAAAGCATTCTTTTCTCCAGAGTTCTTTACTTCCCTTCCCATTGTTAAAAACCCACTTTCTCAGTGAAGCAGATCTCAGCATGCTTTTTAAGAGGAAAGCAAATGATGAAACTTCCCTCTGCTAACGTATGAAGGATGAATAGCCTCTAGTCATCTATCCAGAGGATCACATTTTTTCCCCATTTTTTAAAAAGAGGAACCTTAATGTCGCTGATGGCTTTCTAATCTTAAGTACTTTTAAAAAATTAAAAAGCTGTATGTGGGATGTTATAAAAAGAAAGGCTTGACTGTGCTCCACCAGACCTCCAGCAGTGCCTGTGTTTCTCAGCTGCCTTGTTCTCACTCTACGCTTGAATTCAAAGTCCCTCTTCAAAGTCCTATCCCCAGAGGAAGTAGCGTACCATGAGGGTGTAAAAAGGGAGAGGTGGTGGTGGTGGTAGGTAGGTTTGGCTATTTGTGGAGTATGATTTATTCATAGTGGGGACTCTCTCTACTGTTGAGGTATGTCAAAGTTAGTGTATGATGATGATTGACCAAGGAACGCAGGAACCATCAGCTTTATCCCCCTGAGGGGAGAGCACAGGACTATCATAGACACTGTATGTGAGCCAGGTGGGTAACTCATAAGTTTTGTCTGTGAACAACTTTCTCTAATCTCATGTTACTATTTTTTTTAGGCACCAATTGACAACGGTTCAAAAATCACCAACTACCTTTTAGAGTGGGATGAGGTAAGCTTATTTTCATATTCACCCATCTAAAACACCATTTCAAAAACAAAATTAACTGAACAAATGCCATCTTATTCTTTTATAAGACATGCTAAACACAGAAAAAAGGAATGCTAGTAGAGAAATTTAAATCAATAGTTATTGACTATGGAAAATGAAGTTAGATTGAAGTAGTATTATGAGTTGTGTATTGAAATATATGTACCTGGCTTATTTGCAAGCACTACTGCTGAAAGAAAAAAAGTGGGGTCTTATCTATTTTGGATCTCCAGTGTCTAGCCAGCCAATAATTTGTATTAAAAATTGACTGCTTTGTCATCTTGACTGCTCAGATGATTTTGATAAGGTAAAACACACTGCCGCTTGGAAAGCATAATTTGCTTTTCCTTTTTGAATGCCATGTATGTACTTTGGTGTTACACTGTTGAGTGGCCTCTGTGAGAGCAGAGCAGTACATAGAAGTCACATTCTACCCATGTGCGAGTGCCCTGTGGGTTAGAATGTCCTGTATCGGATGCCCCCCTTGCTGTTCATGTCACCAGAGGCCCTTGGAAGGTATCTACGGTGGAGTGTCCTTATTCTCAAAGCCACTGTGTGCCAACTGGTGGACCCAGTGCATTTCTGGCCTAGCTAACTCTACACACAGAATCTCAGGCAGGAAACACTTGACCTAGAAGCCTTTCATTTCTAAAAAGCAACTGTAGGTCGGGCGCGATGACTCACGCCTGTAATCCCAGCACTTTGGGAGGCCAAGGCAGGTGGATCACGAGGTCAGGAGATCAAGACCATCCTGGCTAACACGATGAAACACCGTCTCTACTAAAAATACAAAAAAAAAAAAAAAAAATTAGCCGGGCGTAGTGGCGGGCGCCTGTAGTCCCAGCTACTCGGGAGGCTGAGGCAGGAGAATGCTGTGAACCCAGGAGGCAGAGCTTGCAGTGAGCCGAGATCGCACCACTGCACTCTAGCCTGGGCGACAGAGCAAGACTCCGTCTCAAAAAGAAAAAAAAAAAAAAGCAACTGTACTTTTTGTTCCTGTAGATCTTAATTGTATTTATTCATTTGCCCCCACTTTATGCTTTCTCTGGTTGAGAAATTGGCTAAGGATTTTAAGAATAAGAAATGTGGAATTTGGGGAGAAATGCAAGTTAGCTAGCCTTCGTGACTTAAATTTGGAGAGATTGAAAGATTTAGAACTTAGGCAAAAAATGACTTGGCAAGTATGGAAAAATATTTTAACCAAATGTAAAATGAAAACTGGATGGAATTCCCATGATGAAATTTTGATGTGAAAGAGAGGTCCGTCATCACTTTCTGCAGAAGCATATTTTCCCATCTGGGTTGCATCTGAACAGCTAGAGTTCCAAGTTACCCAGAACAACCGTCTGTTGTTCTTAGGATCGTTTCGAATAGCTTGTACATGCAGGTTGGTAAAATCTCAGCCTTAACCCGTACATTCTACAGATTAGGTGGATTTCATTTTAAGGTGGTTAATTAGAAAGTGAAACCACCTCTCCAGCCCTTAGAGGTTTTTATAGTCAGTCAGGAATGTTGGAAAGAAACTCGAATGACCTGTGAGCATATAGTAACATCTTCCCATCTCTTCCTCTTTGTAAGGACAGGTGACCGTTTAATGAAAGTCTCTTTTTATATGTTGATTTGTTGCACTCACCTTGTTTTTTCTCATGTCTCGAGGTTCACCAGTACAGAAAAGGCATTTTTTTTTTCAGTTATCTTCTTAGGGCACTGTGTGTGTATGTGCGTGCGTGCATGCACACACTCGTGCATGCATATGAATCCTGTGTTTTTTTACTGCTTCTCTGCCTAAGACCGTGAGTTCCTAAGTTAAGGAAGGCCAAAAAAGTTGAATACATACCTCAGTGGGAAACCTCCAAAGAAAACTCGGGTGCTGCAGGAAATGGTAACTCAGTTACCATTGCTCAGTTCCTCATCCCTTCCCTTAGAATTTGAAGTGAGAGTGTCGTAGCTGATGATGCTGAGAGGAAGGATGCCACAGCCTCTGCTGAAACAGGACAGGCCACGTCTGATGACTTTTTATGTTCAGCATGGTCCATTACAGGCTAGCGGTCAAAAAATGTTAAATGGCTGAGTTTTGCCCTCTACCTTTCTCCTACTTGATCTCCTTCCAGCTTTTCCTCTCACTTTTCTTAATTCCCTTCCCTCTTCTTTCCCCTTTTTCTCTCCCACCTTCAAATTCCTGCTGGTATCAGCTCTGTTGAGCTTTGCTGAAGATTCCAGGTTAATCGACTCTCATCCACCATGGATCTTTTGCCAACACAGGAATCCTTTTACATTCTGTGGCTTCATGTCCACTTTCTAGACATCTCCTGCCCCCTCAATTCTAAGGCACTCCCTTGCCTTTGGGTGCAACGAGCTTCCTGGCAGGAGAGGATAATTGAAGGAACACCAAGATTAGGAAATATGGGTTCTGTTCTGAGTTTTATGCTGGGCAGCTTGACCTCTCTGGTCCTTAGTTTTTTCCATCTGTGAAATGGTGAATAGATTAGTTCACCAGCTTGTGTGCATTTACATTATTTATGCTCTCACAAAACAGATTATTTAGGATTGTCTCTTCTGACAAGAGAATATTTGGAATCATTTTCACTGTTCATTAATTATTTCAGCATTTATGGAGTGTGCTCCTCAGTAGTCCACATTGCACATTGTCCTGTGAGGGATCTGTGACGTAGTAAAGATAACTGTGATAGCTGTGATAGCTGAAAAAGCAAACGTACGCCTATCCTCTTGTGCTTTTAAGCAGACACAAATAAAACACGTTGCCATATGCTTCTCAAATTGTTCTGTCCAGTAGCTTCTTTGCTTTGTATTATACCCCTCTCATTTCCCATCCCCTTATAAAGATGAAAAAATGGTGCTATCGGGTTTCCTGGCAATGAGAATTCAAGCAGTAGTAACAAGTTCATTCCTGCCCATCCTGTCATTTCAGAAGTGAAGTTTCTGACAGAACAGTCTGGCAGTCTGTGTTTCTAAATTTAGAGCTAAGTTGAGGATCAGTAGCACTCTTGAGAGTAGCTCACTTGGGTTGGTCTTTGGGTCCCACATTCCTATGCTATACAGGCCTTAGCTTCAAGAAGGAAACAGGAGAACGGCATCTGGTCTGTAGGAAGTGTGAACACATAAGGCTCTGGCCATCCCTCTGAATCCTTCTGCTGGTAGTTTCTACAGCCAGGTGCATCTCTTTGGTACCAGGACTGTTTCCAGACTCTGCCTTAATAGAAGGCAGTGAGGCAGGAGAATGGGAAGTGGATGTTTTGCTGGAATCACCCTTTCCCCACCCCTCCCCTCTCTAAGAGCCACAGCTCTCCCCTCCTCTCCTCTTCAAGGATATCTGCTCCAGCCACACACCCATAAACCTGTCTGCCATCCAGGGGGCTGAAGAAACAAACTTAGATTGCAGAAAGTTTTTGAGGTGCACAGAGACACAAATCACTGCCTGAGAGTGAGACAGTGCTGCTCAGAGTCTTGAAGAAGGTTGTGTTCAGGCATAGCACTCTTCCCTGTCTCTGCTCTGGCACCTGGTCTGAGAATCATGACTTTGAGGTGAGGTTGCCTCATCTCCATATATGCAACCACTAATGTCCAGGTATCCCCTGCAGCCCCATATTTTTATTACAGTATAACAGCATGGATTAGAGTTCCAGAATACTTTAGTCTTTTGTTGTTTGTAATCACCTTTGCAATAAAATGAGTAGAGTAAAATTTTGAAAGTGTTGGTTAAACAAGAAGACAGGGCATCAAGCCCAGCTTTCAAGCCTCTTAAAAAAAGACTTGCATGGAAAAAGAGCAGCAGCCTTTATTTCTGCTGAGATTAGGAATGCTGTGCCGAGTTGACCTTCATGGGAAGATCCACCTTAATCAGCAGCTAACTATATGCTGGGCTCTGAAGTACAAGGGCAGGTGGAACCCTAATGGGGAGCAGAAAACAGAAACGCATTACAGTACAGGGGAAATCTGATCCACCATCTCTCCTCTCTTAAATTCACTGTCATTAATTTTGCATCACTGTAGCATAGAATTCACTTGGAAATTACTCATTAATAGTTCTATACTAGGGTTAACTGCCTGTTATTTCTCCATTAATAACTAACTAGACAACATCTTAATTTTTAAATCAATACAAGAAGTTACTATGACTATGAAATGGTAATTAGCAGCTAAAAACGGAATTTACAGCCGGGCGCGGTGGCTCACGCCTGTAATCCTAGCACTTTGGGAGGCCCAGACGGGTGGATTGCCTGAGCTCAGGAGTTCGAGACCAGCCTGGGCAACACGGTGAAACCTCGTCTCTACTAAAATACAAAAAATTAGCTGGGCATGACAGTGGGCGCCTATAGTCCCAGCTACTTGGGAGGCTGAGGCAGGAGAATTGCTAGAACCCGGGAAGCAGAGGTTGCAGTGAGCCAAGATTGCACCACTGCGCTCCAGCCTGGGCGACAGAGCGAGACTTGTCTCTGAAAAGAAAAAAAAGGAATTTACAGGTGTCATTGGCTTTTCAGCTGTGGCCTTCAGTTTCGATTTTCACCTGAAACAGGTCAGTTTTTATTACTTGAGAAGGTGTGGCCATTCCTTGCCAAGTTCCCTTGTGGTGACTCGTGAGCTTTAGTGTTTAGAGCCATGGGGTTTAATAACTGACCCCGCATTTTTGTAGATTTTTAGCCGCTTTCCTCCTTCAGGAGACACCCCATTAGGAGCAGAAAGGCAGAAGGTCATTTTCAAGTCTTTTTCACTTGAACGTTAGATGAGTCACATCACATTTTTATTTCAGTGTCCCCGCCCCCGTGTTTACACTTTAATCTACAAGCACTTGTCATTCTGATGGGTAGCAGAAAGCAGATCAGAAGCTCCTAAAAAGGAGCTTGGTTAACAGCAAAACAATGACTAGATGCTAGATTTTTCAAGGTATAGGTTCTTTCCACAATGGAGAGTCAGTGAGAGGGGGAAGGCGGACACCATGCTTGAGACACTATACCCGTTGGCCGCACCCACACTAATCCCTTTGACTGCCCATCTTTTTTGGGCACCCTTCCAAGCTACATTGACCCTGCATTGCTTCTCTTTTCCTTCTTCTTTCTTCTTCTTTTTTTTTTTTTTTTTTTTTTTTGAGATGGAGTTTTACTCTTGTTGCCCAGGCTGGAGTGCAACGGCACAATCTCAGCTCACTGCAACCTCTGTCTCTCAGGTTCAAGCGATTCCCCTGCCTCGGCCACTCGAGCAGCTGAGATTACAGGCGTCTGCCACCACACCCAGCTAATTTTTATATTTTTAGTATGTTTCACCATGTTGGCCAGGATGGTCTCCAACTCCTGACCTCAGGTGATCACCCAGCTCAGTTTCCCAAAGTGCTGGGATTACAGGTGTGAGCCACCATGCCCAGCCCTGCTTCTTTTCTTGATGACATATCACTATCTAGCAGAGGTGGGAGTTTTTCTCTAGAAGAAGCTATGGGAGAAGGATTGAGGATATAGAGGGCTCTAGGTTAGGGAAGGGCTTTTAGGAAAAAAAAAACTAGGAACCTCTGGGTTGAGTCATTCATAAATGTCTGCCCAGTCTGTTTTAATGTTCCTAAACAGATCGTGATCTGGCCTTATTCTTGAAAACTTGAGTAAAGGAGTGAATTTTAATGGGCAAATAAGAACTTTTTATTTTAGAAAAAATTAGTTACATAAAGAAAGTATTTATGCAAAGTTGGCTTGTTTTAAGTTCTGCCTTAAGATATTGTTTTAATTTGAACCATACAGAACACTAACTGGTGCTGCTGCAGCTGTCAGAACAAATACAGGTCACCTAAGATCTTGCTATGAATATGTGGCATGGATTCATATTGATGATATATATCAATGATATGATGTTTATCTAAAGAAACCTGAATTAATCGTCTCAGCTTTGTCTCTGTCTTCATCCATTTTGTGCTGCTGTAACAGAATACCTGAGACTGGTTACTTTATAAAGAACAGAGATGTATTTCTTACAGTTCTGCAAGCTGGGAAGTTCAAGGTCAAGGACTTGTATCTGGCAAGGGCCTTCTTGCTGTGTCCTCCCATAATAGAAGACAGGAGGGCAAGACAGCGCAAGCGTGAGAGAGGGAAGGGAACCAAACTCGTCTTTTTATCAGGAACCCACTCCTGTGATAACAAACTCACTCCTGTCAAAATGGCAATGCATTTGTGAGGATAGAGCCCTTGTGACCTAATCACCTTTTCAAGGAAAAAAAAATGACCACCTCTCAACATGTTGCATTGGGGATTAATTTTCTTTTTCTTTTTTTCTTTTTTTTTTTTGAGACAGAGTCTTGCTCTGTCGCCCAGGCTGGAGTGCAGTGGTGCGATCTCAGCTCACTGCAACGTCTGCCTCCCGGGTTCACGCCTTTCTCCTGCCTCAGCCTCCCGAGTAACTGGGACTACAGGCGCCTGCCACCACGCCCAGCTAATTTTTTTGTATTTTTAATAGAGACGGGGTTTCACCATGTTAGCCAGCATGGTCTCGATCTCCTGACCTCGTGATCCGCCTGCCTCGGCCTCCCAAAGTGCTGGGATTACAGGCGTGAGCCACCACGCCCGGCCGGGGATTAATTTTCTAACACATAAACATGGGGGACACATTCAAACCATAACAGTTTCTAGTTACTCATGGTATACCCCAAGCAGGTAATTTAACGCCTTAGCCTCGGCCTTTCCACTGGAAAAACAGTGTCAGTTATCTCACGGGTACGTAAGACTGAATGAGATAAGTTGGACAACAGCCGATTCAGTGTAACGATTGTTCCATATTGTTGATATAAGTTTACCTAAGCAGATGCTAAGATCTGAGATAGGGACAGTCAACAATTAGAACAATCATGTATAAGGAATATGACATTCTTCTGTCAGGAACTTAAACAAGAGCCCTGAGGTTTATGTCACTTGTTTGAACTAAATAAAAACTGATGTTAGTGCTATCGATGGATGTTAACTTGCTATTAGCCTAACTTCTGGACATGACATGCAGGGCACAGAATAACCAGAAAAAGCACTTTGTGGGAATGTGACTACTGGAGTCCCCAAAAACCTTCCTCACTTGTGACCCAGCTAGCCCAAAAGGAAGTTCACATCTGGATACACAGAATAACCAGAAAAAGAGCTTTGTGGGAATGTGACTACTGGAGTTCCCAAAAACCTTCCTTACTCATGACTCAGCTAGCCCAAAAGGAAGTTCACATTTGGTTTCCCTGGTGACTAATGAGCCAACACAGCTGTAAAACACAGTGGACTAAGAATGAAACAGATGCCACAGAAATCAGGGGAAGCATAATTAAAAGTTGAGAGAGGAGAAAAGGCCAGCAGCCGGTAGAACCCATGCCCCTGGGGAGCCATTAGCAGGTCAGGCCAGGCCAGGCAGGCCCAGCAGTCCTGTCACAGAAACCTCCTGAAGCAGGTGGCCAGCCCCAGATTGCAGCTTCTTGGACTTCTGTATCATTCAGGAGGAGCCTTGTTTAGGGATTGAGTTGGCCCCGTAGAAGATAATCAGTAAGAGATCAATTAATCAGACTCCTGCTTAGCTCAAGTGTTGAATAGTTCATATGGATGATCTCTCATAATCCTTCTGAGTGAATTTGCACAAACCTTTTCTGGTTAGATAACAACTGTTCTGAGAATGAAGGGAATGGAGCAGCTACAAGCACAGTAATTAACTAGGTCCCACAGCATGGATGAAGAGAGCCCCCTGAGAATTTGCTTGACTCCAGCTCTCTAAGGTGCCACACTGCCTTAGGGTGGACAGTGTGTTGGTTGGTTTCATGACAAAAGCCAGGAAGGTCAGCTTTCATTCCCCTGCCCAGGCCCACATGCACTTTGGTCATTCTTGGCAACTGTGGGGATTGGAAAGTGGGGTTCTAAGTTCATTTTGGCTCTGTCCATCAGAGACCATCTTTCACATGAGTGCCCACTGCCATGTCTTACGGTTGTTTCAGAAAGCCAAGAGAATTGCTGCCCCACTATAGCTGCTATTGAAGGAAACTAAGCCAGGAAGGATTGAATAACTCAGAGGCATCTTTAGGTGCCACTTCATGATTAAAAGGAGCCCCCTCTTTTAGGGACCTCAGTCTCAGAGATCCACACACCTGTAGCAGATTCTCTGCCTTCTCTCTTTTACCATTTCTCGCATGTGTACATGATGAGGTTGTGTGTTTGGGAAGCAAACTTGATGTGGAGCTTCTTGCTGAGGCTAAATTATAAATCTCCTCTTGGTTCCTGACACCTGATTTATCAACTCGCCTTTGTCATGGCTTCTCATCGTGAGCTGGAAGAAGACTGCCTTGGGCCTTCACTAGGTGGATGGACCAACCCCATCCATCCCTTGGTTCATTTGTAAATTGTACTAACAGTCTGTTCTGAAATTAGGCCCTCGGCTCCCTTGCTCCCCCTTCCCTGAGACAGTCTTAACACATCGATCCTCTCAAAGCATTTGAAAACAGATGAACCTCAATATTTGGAGAAATACATAGGAAAATTTTCTTTGTGTGTTTGTTTAAACCAGAAGACCTAGTGATCATCCTTGGCTATTTCAGGCAGCCAAGCCTCCCCTCTTACAGAAAAGCTAGTGTGCTGAGGGATAAAATGCCTCCCTGTTTATTTGGTAACATGGAACCACAAATCATCCCACCCACTTTTCTTACCTTTGAAACATCCTCTGTGCCAGAGCGTGCAATAAAATGAAAGAGGCGTCCCTGGGGGAAGAGTGGGGTTTGGCACGAGGAACTTCTGAGTCCACCCAAATGCAGAGTGTCCCTCCCTCCCTGTTAGGAGCCTCTTATATATGGTTATGCTGAACACATACGTGCTCTTTTATTTCTGAAGCCAACATTGGTCTTTGATGTTGCCTAGGATCAGCCGGTGCTGGAACAGCTTCTAAATATAGACACTCTAGCAGACTAAATCTTAGAGTCTGGCCGTAGTTCAGTTGGCCAGTGCAACTTTATTTTTTATGTATTGTTGCCGTTTCTGACAGGTTGAACTATACTATTAACAGAGAATGGCCAGCCCAGAATCCTTCAGCCCATGTCTGGATTCAGCAGCCATGGGCCACAAGCACGTGACAACTGATAACCAAATTCATGGAACTTATTTAGCAGACAGTCATCAAACCTGGTAAGAGCAGCTCAGGAAGGCAGCAGGCATGGCTGTGGAAGAATCTGAAAGAGGCCGGGCTCAGTGGCTGACACCTGTAACCCCAGTACTTTGGGAGGCCGAGGCAGGTGGATCACCTGAGGTCAGGAGTTTGAGACCAGCCTGACCAACATGGTGAAACCCTGTCTCTACTAAAAATACAAAAATTAGCCGGGCATGGTGGCGCACTCCTGTAATCCCAGTTGCTTGGGAGGCTGAGGCAGGAGAATCGCTTGAACCTGGGAGGCGGAGGTTGAGGTGAGCCGAGATCATTCCACTGCACTCCAGCCTGGGTGACAGGGTGAGACTCTGACTCAAAAAAAACAAAAAAATCTGAAAGAGAAGGAGGACAGTGGAAAGATACCACACATCAAGAAAACATCAGGAGGAGTAAGTCACAAGACCAAAGGGAGAAAGTTCACCATGAATTCCAGCATCCTTGTGTTGGCCATTCTTAATCTTGTGCCAGGAATGAAGCAGTTATAAAGAGGAACAGGAAGTATCGTTTCCAATCTATTAATTTAAAAGCAGTTGAAAATATCAGCCAGCTTCATCTGTTAGTGCCAGCGGTGTTGGAAATACCCACTTCTAGTGTTGTTAGTGCCAGGGTAATTAGAAATGTTAGTCAGGGCAGCCACAGCCCCCACAGTCTACAGAATTACACTGGCAGGAAAACACTGTAGCCTGAATTAATTGGGATGTGTGTGAGTTACATGTATAGAATGAGCCATGAGTTGTGTTCCTTAATGGGAAACCAGCCCATTTAGAGGATTCATCTTCCCAAGTACTGAGGAAAGCTTTATGAGGATACTAAGTTAGTAAAGAAGAAAAATTAACTTGAAAAAGTTCTTTTGTTGTTGTTTTCAGTCTTTCAACTACACACTTTTACAAATCAACACAACAAATATATTTTTAAACATACTCTAAATATTAGTTGCATTTTATGATCTTAATCAAATACTTTTTATATACTTAGCTGCCAGTTTTCAAGTAGGTAGACCATCTGTAAATTTGTTTCTTCACTGGAACTCTTGTATGTTTGTAAACAGATACCCAGAGAGAGAGGTGGAAAGCTGGTTACATGAGGAAGTCCTTTGAAATGTTCTTTTCTTTGTTGACTCCTGTGGTTTTAGGCTATGTCATACCTAAACTGTCCCCTAGAGACCATTGCGTGTCTGGATTTAAAAATCTCCCAAGAGTTCTCTAAGTTTGGGATAGCATTATTAAAAGTCTTATTTCAATCTAAAATGTGATTCTGTAAGATGAAGTAACTGCATAGCTGTTGATTGGCAATTTTGGTTGATCTTTATCGTCTAGGAGTCTGGTTCTATTTTTAGCTTATACAAAAATAACTTTTAAAATTATTCAGAGAGGTCCTTACTTTGGTGGATGGCTTTGAAAGAAAAGGCATGTACTAAGTGCATGTAGAAAATAGGACCCATCATATGTTACACATTTATTTTGCTTTTGTTTTTGTTTTGTTTTGTTTTGTTTTGAGACAGGGTCTTGCTCTGTTGCCCAGGCTGGAGTGCAGTGGCACAGTCTCGGCTCACTACAGCGTCTGCCTCCCGGGTGCAAGCAATTCTCCTGCCTCAGCCTCCTGAGTAGCTGGGATTACAGGCATGCACCACCACACCCGGCTAATTATTGTATTTTTGTATTTTTATTTTTTTATGTTTATTATTTATTTATTTTTTATAAATTTTTTTTAGTAGAGATGGGGTTTCACCATATTGGCCAGGCTGGTCTCAAACTCCTGACCTCAGGTGATCCACCCGCCTCGGCCTCCCAAAGTGCCGGGATTACAGGCGTGAGCCACCATGCCCAGCCAGACATTTATTTTGTATGCTAGCATGCACATTACATTCCCCCACCTTCTAGCTGTTTACAGTGTAGGAGGAATTTATAAAAGTTTGCAGAAATTCAGAGGGGTAAAACTTCATGCTATAAACGTATATAGACTTCAAAATAGATGAGTGTAATATTGCATAACAAATTACCCCAAAACTTAGAGGCTTCAAACAATCACTTTCTTATGCTTGTGGACTCTGGGTTAGGGATTTGGACAGGGCACTGGGGAGTGGCATCTCTGTGCTCTATCATATCTAGAGTTTCAGCGAGGAGGGCTCATTGGCTGGGGACTGGAATAATCTTCTGGCAGTGTTTTCACTCACAAGTCTAGCATCAGTGCTCACTTTGGACTGGACCTATCTGGGGCTCTTCACATGGCCTGGGGTTCCCACACAGCGTGGCAGCTTCAGGGTAGTGAGAATCGAAAATCAGGTGTCCCAGCAAAAGTTAGAAGCTGTAACACCTTTCCACACCCAGCCTTGGCTTCATTTCCACTCCAGCCTTTTGGTTACAAGAGAGTCACAAGACCACCCGCATTCAAGGGAAAGGGACATAGACTTAGACTTTGTTTCTCAATGGATAGGGAATCACAGAATTTTTAGACATGTTTAAAGTAACCACTTGTGGTATAAGCCTTCTCTTGTCTCCTTTTGGTCCTGAGAAACCATTAACAAATATTTTTTTCTTTATCTTTGTATAGCACATACAGTTTTTTAGGTACTATAACCTAAGACTGTTAGATATAAGGTCATATACTTTAAAAGTACAACGTAACTCTTTTTCCCATCCCTGATTCTTTTCTGAGTATTCTGGAGACAGGGAGAGTGGGGGCAAATGTGTACCCAGAAATACAGTGACAGGATGGACCTCATACCTCATAGCCAGTGCTACTCAGCCAGCCAGTGAGACATGCCTCAGTGGCTCTCAAATACCAATCTTCTCAGCTAGCAGATGGAAGAGATCACTCTGCCTGCTCCCTTAGTGATAAGGGCAGGGAACCCAAACAGACTGTTTATCTCCAGTTAATGTCTCTGCCTCAGTTGTACTTGAAAAGCAGGATCGTGTATTCTGTTCCCTCAGGTGACTCATGATAGTGCAGCAAAGTGTTTTAGTTTTTGTTTGTTTGTTTGTTTGCAGGGAATATAAATGTATTTAAAATCTTTAACAGACAGTTTTTGTTTTTTAACTACAAATTTGAAAGAAATTGAAAAATATTCAAGTAGGTAGTAAGGGGGTAAAAGAAAAAATAAAGATGTTCCTTAAAATATTCAAAATATTTTATATTTATAATTTATCTCCAAATTTCATTTTGGAGAATGGCAGAGCTGGACATGGTAGCTCACACCTATGATCCCAGCACTTTGGGAAGCCTAGTTCAGGTGGAAGGATAGCTTGAGGCCAGGGGTTCGAGATCAGCCCATCTCTACCAAAAAGAAAAAAATTGAAAATTTAGCCAGGTGTGGTGGTGCATGCCTATAATCTTAGCTACTCAGGAGGCTGAGAAGGAGAATCCCTTGAGTCCAGCAGTTTGAGGCTACAGTGAGCTATGGTCTGTTTGTACCACTGCTCTCTAGCCTGAACAACAGAGTGAGACACCTTGTCTCTCACACACACACACAAAAAGTAGAATATTTGGAAACAGTATTTCTCCCTTGTGGGGGGAAAAAGAAAAAGTCTTTGTCCTGGAGATTATAATCACATCTTGGAGATGTTTTCAGGGGTTGATCATTCTCTGCTATGTAGCCACATAGTGCTTTTTATATACTCTCCAAGCTCCCTTCTCTTGCCCCTTTTTTTCTGTGTTTGGGGCCTTTCATAGTCTGGCAAAAAGTTGGAGGTTATTGCCATTCTTCAGAATTTAGCAGGACCCTGTAGGAACAAGAACAATATCTAGACTCCCATTATTAATTAGGACTTGAAACCAAAAATGCATGACCCTTCTAAAAAGTGAGTGAGGATGAGGATGAAGCAAAGGGGAGGCAGGTGCTCATAGAGTATGTAGTATTCTAAGCGTTACTAGGCTGGGACTTCCCCCCAAAGGTGATGACTTCCTTTAGTATGTGAATCTTGAAATGAAAGAGGCACTTACCCAGGTTCAGATAAATGAGGTGTCCAGCTTAGGGCAGGTGAACTCTGTGGTAAGAGTTATGATGACATCAGGGGACAGGTTTGCGCAAGGCACACTGGACGGAACATAGAGTAAGATGATCCAGTGGTGTCTAGAATGTGGATAATACCCAATGTATTTTTGTTTGATGATTGGAAAGGAGAAAGAGGCAAAGCCCTTTCTCCCTTCCCAGGCTTGGGAAGGGCTGATCTGATGCATGCTGTGAATATGAGTCGACTTACTGGCGAGCCAAGTCCTTTCCTGGAGAGCAGTTTTGACCAGAAGTGGTAGACAAAACACCCTCGTCCCTGGTTGGAAAACATTACCCCAGGGTGATGAATTGGTGCTCTCAGGCTAGGTCTGGGTGTGGAATGAAGATAGATAAGCAACAACTGTGAATTAGGTTGAGTGCGAAGAGGAACACTCAGCTTGGGAAAGGAAACAACCCACGTTTGCAATGCGTCATCCTGCGCCAGATTGAGCACCTCAAGGTTTGTCTGCACACAGTTGGTTTGTACTCCAAGATTTCTTCACATTGTAGTAAAGAAAGATTAACCTTGCCCTTGAATGAACTTGGTCTGAGCTGCAGAAACAAGCATTTGGGCATGCCCAAGGTTGCAAAATGGAAACAAGCCAGTGCACCCTGAAAATCTGCCCTTTTTTTGGCTCACAGACACTGGCAGTAGAAAGTTAGGCCAGAACTGGCTGGGGTTATATTGGTTCATGTCCAGTGAGGTCAGTAGCCCAGTGGCTAGGTCTGTTCCAGAATGATCAATGGTGTTCACTCTGACCAGTTTCTCTAATTCAGGTGAAGTATCTTTTCCATACCCCGCTGAGAACAGGGACTCCAGTGTCACCTTAGAGGTTCTGATCCTGACTGCTCATGTGCTGCGAACCTGACCCACCAACGCGCAGAGAAGCGGAGTGCAGCTAGGAGTCTCTTCCCTCAGCCCTGCGGACCAGCTGACTCCCAGGCCCTGGCAGCCCCTTTGAAAGCTCTTACTCTCCTCTGTGTGACACACCACAAGTGGCCTAGCAGCCGTAGCTGGCCAGGATTAGGCCTAAGTCATGGCTGTCCCTGCTGCCTGTGTGTGACCAGATCATTGATGACAACAGGTCTGAAAAGTGTCAGGATGTTACCCATTTCTACTGCAGCCATATTTTAGTAGGGAACTTTGAACAAGGCTGAATTTAAATTATTAACAACTAAGTTTCCGAAGTCAAGTCAGCGTATCTCAGTAATCCTGTGTAGTCTAAATTAGATTTTTTAAAGGCGGGAACGTGCCATAGATTATAATCTCTCAAAATCTCTGGGAGCCACACAGCATATAAAATATGAAAGTTGTCATTTACCATCTCTAAAACTTCACTGACAGGAATGATTTGGATATATTTAACTTCTGATAAACAATGATAAACATTCACTTTATCACTCCTGTCAGTTCGTATGAATCTTTCAGTCCTCTAAAGCATTAGCTCTTTTCTTTTTTAACTCCATTTCTGTCAACAAGAACAGGAAAATGTTTTGTTTATAAATGCTATTTGCAACCTGGGACCCATCTTGTTTTATGAACAGATTCTCCAAATCTTCTATGCCTTTGAACACGGACTTACTCTACTCTAATGCTTAAGCTCCAGAGCCGTCGGAGAGCCTGGCGCAGTAGACAGACCAGCACGCTGGCATCGGATCACTGGAGCCAGTGGCCTTCTCCAGTTCACTTGTTAACTTCTCAGCTGCAGATCACTTTTTGTACTGCAGTGACTTTTGTGAACATTAATTTTTTTCTTTCCAGATATGCATTTTATTTTATTTTATATTAGAGACAGAGTCTCGTTCTGTCACCCAGGCTGGAGTGCAGTGGCGTGATCTCGACTCACTGCAACCTCTGCCTCCCGGGTTCAAGCAATTCTCCTGCCTCAGCCTCCCAAGTAGCTGGGATTACAGGCGTCTACCACCACGCCTGGGTAATGTCTTTGTATTTTTAGTAGAGACGGTGTTTCACCATGTTGGCCAGGCTGGTTTCGAACTCCTGACCTCAAGTGATCCACCTCCCTCAGCCTCCCAAAGTGTTGGGATTACAGGCGTGAGCCATCACACCCCGCCCAGATATGCCTTTTGTATTAAACTTCATGTTATACATGAATATGTTCTTTTATTCAAAACTTCTCTCATGTCTGAAATATTTTAACCTACTTTCCCTTGTTTTTGTTTTATTCTCAATGACTTCTAAAAATTCATCAATAAGCCTTAATTCTTTTAACTGTCAAATATTTGTATTCTTACCTCTACAGACTCTACAGACAATGCTTCCAAAACTGAATTCCAGGGTTTTAACAACTCTGGATCTTTCTAGGTGTCCCTAAGTTTATGCACATAGTAGTACATCCTGGAAGTTGTTATGATAGAAAATTCGGCATGCTTTGTCTATATGGGTTGTAGTTTATATAGCAGTTGTTCCTGATTTTAACAATTGGTCCTGACTCCAAGATTTATGTTTTGTTTGTTTGTTTTTGAGATGGAGTCTTGTTCTGTCGCCCAGGCTGGAGTGCACTGGCGCCATTTTTACTTCTTTCACAAGTAGAATTTTTTTAAATGTTAGCAATATAGGAAGATGTCTTGAAGGTCACACAGTTCCCCTTCTCCTAATTCTTTAGTGAGCGTGAGTGCTCTGGCTCTCTTAAAAGTCATTTCTCCCCTTCGAACCCTCCCCAGTCTTTTTCTCGTTTGAGCCACAAACAGTCTGGTTTCTACTGTATTAAAGCAAATTAACCTAGTAAGAAACACTGACTTTTTTTTTACTGGCTACAGTTCTAAGCACAAGAAAAGGGGAAAGGAGACCAAATAAAGAAATAGGAAAAATGAGGCATTAAAGGGGAGCCAACACGGGGTTTGGAAGGGATGAGAGCTTCCGCCATGGCAGGATGGGCCTTTCTTGCACTGCTTACTCTGAGTTCAGAAATAGAGGAGGAAAGAAGGTAGATCATGCCACAGCCTGAAATGGATACGACACATACCAGGGCTCCCATAGAGTGTGATCGGATGCTGGGTGTAATTATTCAAGTGTATGCATTTGAATAAATCATCTTCCTCAACCTCAACACTCAAGGTTGAAGTAAGCATAGTGTGTGACATGCCAGCCACATAGTGAGTTCACTCAAGGAGCAACTGAGAAATGTCAGGCTTTACTTGCTGCACACCCCCAACTCGGCCACCAAGTTGCATCTGAATGCACCTTGAACCCTTGATAAAATGAACTTTCAATCTTAAAGACTGTTAGAACTCTCACTCCCTTCCATTGGGAAAGGTGCTTCCTGGCTCTAGGAGGTGGGTGGGGAAGGGGTTCCTTTGAGGAGGATGAATGTGGTGTGATTTTTTTGGGGGGCGGGGCGGGGCAGGAGGACGGAATCTCACTCTGTCGCCCACACTGGAGTGCAGTGGCGCGATCTCGGCTCACTGCGAGCTCCGTCTCCCAGGTTCACGCCATTCTCCCTCCTCAGCCCCCTGAGTAGCTGGGACTACCAGCACCCGCCACCAAGCCTGGCTAATTTTGTTTTTGTATTTTTAGTACAGATGTGGTTTCACTGTGTTAGCCAGGATGGTCTGGATCTCCTGACCTCGTGATCTGCCCGCCTCAACCTCCCAAAGTGCTGGGATTACAGGCGTGAGCCACCGCGCCCGGCCAGTGTGGTTGTTTTTAATGTGCTCACCGTAGCAACAGTCAGGCTAGTGGTGTGTTCATTTTATTTTTAATTAAAACCACCTGGAATGTGTTTTAGTGGTATTTGGAGACCTGCTGAAAGGAAGGAGATGCTTAAATTTGTTTACGTAAAAAATGTGCTTGCTTTGTTTTTTGTGAAATAAATTGAGAACTTCAGACACATTGCTCAAGGCCCTGGGCCTGTCCAGTTAGAATGCTAAGATCCACTCAATGTTAGCTTATGGTTTTCTTTTGCATGAACATGGATAAGATAGTAAGATAATGTGGATATGGGTAGGAAATATTCTAACAAACTACTGATAAGAGTATTACATGCCTGTGAGTGTGGCATAGGGCGGTTAGACTTTTTCCTTACTTGTTGAACCTAATACGAGACCCCACTAGAGTGTTTTATTTTTACTTTAACGAATTTGAAGTATCACATAAGGCTAGGAAGGCATTCAAAATACATTTCTAGCCTGACAAGAAACTTAGAGTGACTGTAATATACATAGATTAATTCAACCAATGTTCCAAGTGCTTATCATTCACTTCCACCCTGCAAGCATTGATTGAGCTCCCAGTTTGTCCAAAGCACTGTTATGAGCAAAGCAGACGTGGACAAAATGATTCAAAGGTTTGTGACCAGTAGCAGCAATCAGTGAAGAAACACCATCACTAGAATGTACTTGTGAAGGTATTGGAGGCCACTGCATGGCAAGAAAGATACAGCTGGAGAGGGCCTTGTATGGCACACTCAGCTGCAGAGACGGGTCTGTAGGTGCTCAGGAGTTACTGGGAAAGGCTGTGTATTTTCAGAGCCAGTGACCCCTCTGTGGATGCAGTAGACTCTTGGTTGATCAGGCTGGGCAGTTTGGGCCAATCTAAGTAAGGAGGAGGATCTTAGAAATTGTGATCGTTAACTGGAGCATCGTCTTGTGCCTGAAAGGACCTTTTTTTATTTTATTAACCAAAAAAACCACAGGTACAGTAAATTACCTGTCTCAATTACAGAATTTTCTGTAGTGCCTTTATGTTAGAGATGAGATTTCATTGTAGAATGCTTTATTTGCAACATGGACACTTCCCTGTAAGTTTCTATTGTTTTTGTTCATTCAAACTAGGAAATTAAGCAGTTATTCAAGATGTTCAAGATGCTCCTTCATTTATTTAGGGTTATCTGTTGTTTTTTTTTTTTTAAGTATATGCATTGTTTCATTGTTTACTTTTAGGGAAAAAGAAATAGTGGTTTCAGACAGTGCTTCTTCGGGAGCCAGAAGCACTGCAAGTTGACAAAGCTTTGTCCGGCAATGGGGTACACATTCAGGCTGGCCGCTCGAAACGACATTGGTACCAGGTATGACGTTTCCTTGTCCTCTTGCCCTTCAGCCTTTGGATGGTGATCCTGAGCCTTCTTTTACATAGCTGGAAGGCATGAGGAAGCCTGCTGCCTCCACACTAAATCAACTGGAGGTTTTCCAAGAGGGAATCCTAATCAGAGGAGAGAAGGCCTCCTTTAAGCTGGTGAATGTCACTATGGCCTCTGCAGTCTTGCAAGCTGTATTGCGAAGGCCCCACTAGGGGTCTCTAAGAACCAAGGTGAAGGTAGCAGTACAGATCTTGAAAGGAATTCCTCTTGGAGCTTTAATTTTTTAGATCACATGCCTTTTTCTTTTATCACTTTAGCAAGCTCTTCATTCACTTGCCTTTTTTCAATTATGTGAGTGTTTCCTGGTACAAAGAAAGAGATGCTGGGCCAGCCATTGTTGTCAAGCCCAGGGCAGATACGGAATTGGAGAAAACCTGGACTGTCTTAGAGGCCTCTGCAGGCCTCTAGGCTGTATGAGAAAGGCGAGAACGGGTGTACTGTAAGGTATCAATTGATTAAAGAGGCTTTGAAAAGGCCATGTTTCAGTTGCACTTGGGGGGTAACTCTTCATTAAGGGAAAAATCTTTTTCTTTCATCACTGCTTGTTGAAATCTTCTTAAAGGTTTTGCACATCGGTGGTCCCCAACCCTCTTTCCAACCTAAAGAACCTCTTTTTAACATCACAAAGTTTTACAGACCTGCCTCCACCACCATGGTAGCCATTACAGCTTCAGAGTTCACTGGTTGAAAAAATACCGACACAAAGCCCTTTATGGCTCAAGAATTTTTAAATGAATTGGAAGCATCCACAAACTTTTGAAAAACAGCACTGTATATATTGTAAAACATTATTTCATCAACAAATATTTGTTGCTCACATTGATTTGAAGGCTCCTTGACCCGTAACTTGATAAACATTGCCTTGTGCTATACCTTCTTTCCAGTGCTTTTGAGGGGGGAAAATGAATTCTTAAGTACAATTGTCCTTTGGTTTCCACAGGGGATTGGTTTCAGGACTTCCCCCACCTCCCTGCCATGAATACCAAAATCTATGGATGCCCCAGTCACTGATATAAAATGGCATAGTCTTTGCATATAACCTACACACATCCTTCTCTCCTTAAATCTTCTCTAACTTGCTTATAATATCCAATATAATGCCCACACGTCACTTCATTCACGTGGACTCAAGATGCAGAACCCAAGGATACAGAAGGCCAACTGTATATTGTCCTGTGACTTGGTGTGTGTGTCTAGTAGAAGATCATGGGGTGGGGGGATGGGGAAGCTGAAGGTGGTTATAGGGAATATCACACACAGCATCCTTACCTGGCTTTGCTTACTCTACCTGCTAGGCTGAGTTGGGTAGTGTGCAGGCTGAGCCTTCCTCTTTTAAAATGCCAAGCCTCTTCACATGCTTCTAACTGTGTGCCTCACTTTCTTTCTCTACAGTGGTTATAGCCAAGAGGTGGTGTGCTACACATTAGGAAATATCCCTCAGATGCCTTCTGCACCAAGGCTGGTTCGAGCTGGCATCACATGGGTCACGTTGCAGTGGAGTAAGCCAGAAGGCTGTTCACCCGAGGAAGTGATCACCTACACCTTGGAAATTCAGGAGGATGAAAATGTGAGTTTTACAGATTTTATACTTCTCTGTGTTTTGTACGAGTCAGTATTATTATAGCTACAGGGCACCATGAAATTAGATTAACTGCATCAGTTCAAAGCCAAACTCTTAATTTCTGCCTCTGTCACCACCACTACCAACACCGGCCTGTTCTTTCCCATCTCTGTAAATGACATTTCCATCCTTTCAGCTGGGGAAGCAAAAACTCTTGGAGTCATCCTTGATCCTATATATAATCAGAAAATCCTTTTGAATCTTCCTTAGAAATTATTTAGAAATTAACCATTTTTATCTCCACAGCTACTATCCTTTTATGAGCCACTCATCTCACCTGTGGATTATTGCAATAACATAATATTGTTATTGGATTATAGCCTCTTAATATTCCTAACTTCATCCTTACTAGGCTTCAGTCTGTTCTCCATACAGAGCCTGGGTGGAGAACATCATCTTGTAAAATACAAATAGATCATGTCAGCACCCTGCTCAGAATCCTTCCTGTCTCAGTGCCTTCCCCTCTTTTTCAGAGTAAAATCCCTAGAGCTCTTACAATGCCCACAAGGTCCTGTGTGATTGGGCTCTCCATTACTGTCCTCGTTGCTTCCACTCACTGTAGTCTTATTAGCCTCTAGTCTGTTCTTTTTGTTTTGTTTTGTTTTTGAGATGGAGTCTTGCTCTGTCACCCAGGCTGGAGTGCAGTGGCGCGATGTTGGCTCACCTCAAGCTCCGCCTCCCAAGTTCATGCCATTCTTCTGCCTCAGTTTCCCAAGTAGCTGGGACTACAGGCGCCCGCCACCACACCCGGCTAATTTTTTTTTGTATTTTTAGTAGAGATGGGGTTTCACCATGTTAGCCAGGATGGTCTCCATCTCCTAACCTCATGATCTGCCCTCCTCAGCCTCCCAAAGTGCTGGGATTACAGGTGTGAGCCACCGCACCCAGCCAGCCTCTAGTCAGTTCTTTAAACACACCGTGTGTGCTGTGGCCTCAAAGCCTTTTCAGTTCTGCCTTCTGGCCAGAATGCCCTTCCAGATGTCTTTGACTCCCTTCCCTCATTTTCTTCAAGTCTGTTCTCATATGTCATTTCTTTGGGCAGTCCTTCCCTGATCACACTGTAGAACAGCACCACCCAATAGAACTTTCTGCAGTGATGGAAATATTTTATAATTTGTGCCATCCAGTATGGTGGCACCTATACACATACAACTCTCGAGCACCTGACATATGCATGTTGGCCTATAGTATGGAGGGTTTGTGCTTGTTTGTTTGTTTTGAGATGTAGTTTCGCCTTGTTGTCCAGGCTGGAGTGCGGTGGTGCAATCTTGGCCCTCTGCAACCTCTGCCTCCCAGGTTCAAGTGATTCTCCTGCCTCAGCCTCCCGAGTAGCTGGGATTATAGGCACGCAGCTCCACGCCTGGCTAATTTTGTATTTTTAGTAGAGACGGGGTTTCTCCATGTTGGTCAGGCTGGTCTCGAACTCCCAACCTCAGGTGATCTGCCCACCTCAGCCTCCCAAAGTGCTGGGATTACAGTTGTGAGCCACCAAGCTCAGCCAGTACTGAGTTTTTAATTGTAATAAACTTAAATTCAAAGAGCCACATATGGCTACCATATTTACCTCCAGCAGCTGTAGAAAGCCCTCACCAGTTCCACCACTGTATCCTCCTACCTAGCTTTAGTTTTTGTCATAGCACTTAACACCATGTGACATACATAGCAGCTTTTCTGTATTGTCTTCTCCCACTGGAATGTGAGCTTCTTGTGGGCAAGGCCTTTTCTGTTCTTGGGCAGTGCTGAATCCTTAGAGCCTAGAGGACAGCCCAACACAGAGAAGGTACTAAGTAGTATTTTGATGAGTGAATGATAGAATGATAGAGATAGAACTATTGAATGAGTTCCCTGAGTTCAACTTTTAGTGGAATGTTTGCCCTCCTAAAGGATTGTGCCCTTTCCCATCTAAGCTGTCCTTTCTCCCATGGCCAGAAGAGGGCACTGTGTGGTCAGGAAGCTCAGCCACACTTTACTGCATAGCACATTGCAGTTTGATAGTAAAGACCTCGGTGCAAAGGGCTTTTTTCATGACAACATTAAAAATGTTAAATGTATTTTCAAAAGTTGCTTAACTCCTTTGTCACAATAAATTTGACCAGACCCAGGAGAAATTACAGTGTGATGGAGATAAATTTTTATTTAAAGCTCAAGTGCTATCCACAATACTCTGGGCTTCTGATTTTTCTCTTTTGCGGTAGCTGCCAGACCTCTGGCCAGTTGCTGGTGATGGTAGGGAAAGGCAGTATAAAAATCCTGTATTCAAAGGTATTTAATGCCCAGAATTTTTTATACTGATGTTTCTTCCTGGCTTTGCCTTTTCAGGATAACCTTTTCCACCCAAAATACACTGGAGAGGATTTAACCTGTACTGTGAAAAATCTCAAAAGAAGCACACAGTATAAATTCAGGGTGAGTCAGTCATTTTGCTACCTGAACTGCTTAAAAATGAAACTGTTTTCTATTTCACCATTTACCATGTCAGATTGACTCTACAGGTTAAAAAATGAAGTTCACAGCACTTTACATTTTGAAAGTAACATTTATAAAGTGTACAACATGCTTTATTTATTTATTTGAGATGGAGTCTCTATGTCACTCAGGCTGGAGTGCAGTGGCACGATCTCGGCTCACTGCAACCTCTGCCTCCCGGGTTTAAGCAGTTCTCCTGCCTCAGCCTCCCGAGTAGCTGGGACTATAGGCGTGTGCCACTATGCCCGGCTAATTTTTTTTTTTTTTTTTTTTTTTTTTTTGTATTTTTAGTTGAGACGGGGGTTTCACCATGTTGGCCAGGCTGGTCTCAATCTCCTGACCTCGTGATCCACCTGCCTCGGCCTCCCAAAGTGCTGTGATTACAGGCATGAGCCACTGCGCCTGGCCCATGCTTTAATTTTAAAACCAACTTGTGAGCACAAAAATTGTCATCATGTGCTGTAATAAATTGCATTTACAGCATGGCCAAATGCCCTTGCCTGGGAAGAGACACACCAGGTGCTGGAGTGCACCTGTCACTTACCTGCACTCCATACCTTTTTCCTTTCGAGCAGTCTCTTTGCTCTTCACTTTCCTTTGCTCTTCTGCCCATTTATTTTTCCTCACTTGCTTGTAATTTTCTCTTCCATGACCCACCCCCTCCCTACCTGGGCTGTCTTTGGTCATTAACAGCCACCATTAATGTTACTATAGGACTATGTGTAGTAGCCAAAAAAGTGAATATGACTTTACGATCACTAAGAGATCAAAACGATATTCTGCAGCACTGTATTTTCTAGTATGACAAGTGTGCGTTTTGGAAGATAAGATTGTCTTCTGATTCCACACATTCTTCTCTAAGTCAGGGACCAAATGCTATTATTTGGCACATAGCAATCACTCAATAAATAGTTGCCAAATTATCAAGTGCAGTGTGTGACTATTTGAGGGAAATGATAATTTTTAACATATTTTTTAAAACCCTTATTATCGATGCTGGCTATGAGAACATAGCTATACTGCTAACGTTTCTCCACAAGGTGGCATTGCCCTACGCTTTAAAAAGTGGGGCTATTTTTATGTCCCCCCCCCCACCCCCATATTTTCCTTTCACAAAACAATACAAACCAGGTGATGACATACTTGTTTTATCATGTCTTTTTGAAAGGGTAAAAATATCTTTAAAACCCATCTTATCATTTTATTTTTATTTATTTATTTTTTGAGTTGGAGTTTCGCTCTTGTTGCCCAGGCTGGAGTGCAATGGCATGATCTTGGCTCACCGCAACCTCTGCCTCCCAGGTTCAAGGGATTCTCCTGCCTCAGCCTCCCGAGTAGCTGGGATTACAGGCATGTGCCATCACGCCCAGCTAATTTTGTACTTTTAGTAGAGATGGGGTTTCTCCATGTTGGTCAGGCTGGTCTCGAACTCTTGACCTCAGGTGATCCACCCACTTTGGCCTCCCAAAGTGTTAGGATTACAGGCGTGAGCCACTGTGCTGGCTGGTTTTATTTTTAATTGTTAATAACCAACTATACAGTAAATGATTTATAAAATAAATACTGTTAATACTTGAGTTGAAAGAGAAAAAAATGTGTGTGTGTCTGAGTTTATGGGTGCCTTAATCTCACCATGTTAAAAAGTGACCATTAATTTAATGATCCCTGATAACTAAATCATGTTAACGTTTCCTTGGTTGTGTTCTAGCTGACTGCTTCTAATACGGAAGGAAAAAGCTGTCCAAGCGAAGTTCTTGTTTGTACGACGAGTCCTGACAGGCCTGGACCTCCTACCAGACCGCTTGTCAAAGGCCCAGTTACATCTCATGGCTTTAGTGTCAAATGGGGTATGTTTTGCTGCTGCTGCTACTGTTTTTTTTTTTTTTTTCTTTTGATAGATTTTTAAAAAATGATTCATTTTAGTAGTGACAAGCCAAAAAAATTGTGGATGGTATTTGCAGAAGTTTTCTGCATTCGGAATATATGTGTGAGAAACATCCTGAGAATTCTACAAATTGGAATGGACAATTTCATTAAAATGTAATCGTAATGGACAATTAAATTTTAGTGGAAATTAAAATGGATGATTTTTAAGAGTATCTCATTTACTCTATGATTTTCCTGTTTACATATTTTTTTCTCCTATATTTTTAAGGCATGGATTTGAATGTAGTAATCTCTGCATGCATCGTTCATTCTTCAATAGTTCATCCTTAAAAAATTAGCAATACTTAATAGAAAAATTTTGATTTATAAAGTTAATATTGAAAATAAATTTCAAAATTTAGGTTTGTTAAGTAAACTTTAGCATACAGAACATTTAAGTTGCAATGAATTAGGGATAGTTTTGTTTCCATTGGTGTTTGTTGTATAAAGTCTTGAACTTTGGGAAATTTTAACATTAAAGTTCATAAGGAGTTTGAGGTTGTCTGGCAAAAGGATATTGTGCCTCACCTCTGTTGTGTGAATTATTTCAATAAAATGAATACAATTAGAAGGTTGACAATTAATATGTAAAAGTGTTATGCGTATCATTTTTACTAATGTCATAATAATATTAACTAATAGGCAAAAAAAAAGTTGAAATCTTAAATAAAATTTTACCTTGCAGCCAAGTAATATAAGGGGAATTTAAAACATTATTACACCAACCACTGAGACATATAACTGTTTCAAGTTACCTAATAATTGTGAGATAGAATTATTAGGATTTCTGTTTCCCCAAGAGATGGATATAATTCAGAGAAATGATAAAAATCTAGATGTGCTTTTAGCCAGACCATAGAGCTTTTCTCTCAAAGAACCTCAGAAAGTTCTGTCAACACTACTTACTTTCATTGGCTATATGCTATAATATTTAACTTTATAATTATTATTGTAAATATCTACTACTGAAGTATATATACATTAATGGAAATACCAGGTGAAGGAGAGGGGAAGTGAATGTTCTAAATTTATATATAAGTAAAACTTAAGATTTTTTAGAAAAATCTCCGCTATGTCTAAGAATATAGAAGTGGCAGACTGATAATAAGGGTACATTCTTTATAGTTTTGCAAAATTAGACTGCAAAGGAAGTGTTTTTCTGCTCAGAAAATAAAATTCCTTTAGGCACAGAGTTATGGGTAGACTATATACCCAAGGTGCCTAGGGCTCTAGTCATAAGCCAGAACCTTCTTCCTCAGACTGTCTGCTGGTGCACTGGTTCTCATTGATCCACACCTCTGGTTTCATACCACATTCACCTGGGATGCTGGGATGTAAAGTTTGCTTGGTAGGAAACTGCTAGAATGGACGTATTCCATTTTGATATTTTATTTATTTTGTCAATAAATTTTGTACTTCTCTTTCCGTTCCTTTCCATCACTCAAAAGAATCTTGTTGGCCGGGCACGGTGGCTCATGCCTGTAATCCCAGCACTTTGGGAGGCTGAGGCAAGTGGATCACCTGAGGTCTGGAGTTCAAGACCAGCCTGACTAACGTGGTGAAACCCTGTCTCTACTAAAAATACAAAAAAATTAGCCAGGCGTAGTGGCGGGCGCCTGTAATCCCAGCTACTTGGGAGGCTGAGGAAGGAGACTCGCTTGAACCCAGGAGGCAGAGGTTGCCGTGAGCCGAGATGGCGCCATTGCATTCCAGCCTAGGCAACAGAGCGAAACTCCATCTCAGACGGAAAAAAAAAAAAAACAAAAGAATCTAGTCACTGATAAAATAAGTGAAATAAAAAGAATAAAATCAGAAATATGAACATACAGTCTTACATAAAAATCATCAAATATATTAAAGAGCACCTTCAAGTAAATTCAACAACTTGATCAGTTTGTGCCGAGTTTTTTGTTCATATTTCACTACATGAATGCTCTTTGACATTTCTATATCTAAGAACTTTGAATAGTCTGATAGTATTCAGAGATTCCTGGTTTGTTTTTTTCTTTTTTTTCAACAGAGGAGTTGGTGAAATAAATTATTTTGCCTTTTGGTCATGTCTAGAATTCAGATAGTATAATGGTGTGTGATTTTATGAGTCCTGATGATGTTTACCAATAAAAATCAATATCCTTTTATTGCTAATAAGACATTTGGTTATTTTCCAGATCCCCCTAAGGACAATGGTGGTTCAGAAATCCTCAAGTACTTGCTAGAGATTACTGATGGAAATTCTGAAGGTGAAGTTTTTGGCAATTGTTTTATTCAAATCCAATAGCAAGCTCTGTTTTCTAATATAGTAAATGTCTTTATAGTAATAGTGAGTAATCATTAATTCTAAAGATAGAATTATTATTACAATAAACAAACTTTAGTCACATATTGGCAGTTTTTCTATTTCAAACACAGCACCAGAGATCAGAGTCTACTTGAAACTTACATTTGTGTTATTTAACAATTTTTCTGTATCTTTTTCATTGGTGTTTTGTTTTGTTTATCTTTTGTTTTTGTTTCTTTGGTTTGGTTTGTTTTTGTTTTGTTTTTTGAGATACGATCTCTGTCACACAGGCTGGAGGGCAGTGGCACAAACATGGCCCATTGCAGTCTCAAACTCCTGGGCTTAAGTGACTCTTCTGCCACAGAAGATGAGGAAGAATACATTTTTCATAGTGATGGGGTCTCACTATGTTATCTAGGCTGGTCTCAAACTCCTGGCCTCAAGCAACCCTCCACCTTGGCCTCCCAAAGTGCTGGGACTATAGACATGAATCACCACACTCAGCTTCCATGTCTTTTTATGAACTAGGGTTCCTAATTAATCAGATAAATTTGGTATTTTCATCTCCTAACTTGCCATATGTTTTCTGGAAATTCTTATAAGCAGCCGAGAGTGGTGGCTCACGCTGTAATCCCAGCACTTTGGGAGGCTGAGGTGGGTGGTCAAGAGATCAAGACCATCCTGGCCAACATGGTGAAACCCCGTCTCTACTAAAAATACAAAAATTAGCTGGGTGTGGTGGCAGGCACCTGTAGTCCCAGCTACTTGGGAGGCTGAGGCAGAAGAATTGCTTGAACCCAGCAGGCGGAGGTTGCAGTGAGCTGAGATTGCACCACTGCACTCCAGCCTGGTGACAGAGTGAGACTCTGTCTCAAAAAAAAAAAAAAAAAAAAATTCTTATAAGCAAAGAGAGTATCAGAGGCAGGAAGGGGAAGGTGGAGATAGTGAAAAGGGGTAGGTTCAGTAATCTACAAATTCCCATGCATGATTAAACAGTATATAGTATTGTGGGCTAGTGACAAGAATCACACTTTTATAACAAGTTTAGAAAATGTCTTTCCAACTTCATTGTCATTTTGCTTCAGGTTTTTGTTACTATTCATACTGGGTGGATTAACATGGGACAAATGTTAGAAATAAAATTCCTTAGTGCCTTTTTAAAAATTCTAAGGTTTTCTTTCTAATAAAATTCATTAGACTTTAATAGAGAAAAGTATAGTCTTCAAAACTTTTTAAATGACATATCATCTCACCACTGTAATAATCTCTCTAACTATTAAGGTTTTGTTTTGTTTTGTTTTGTTTTGTTTTTTGAGACGGAGTCTCGCTCTGTCGCCCAGGCGACAGAGTGCAGTGGCGTGATCTCGGCTCACTGCAAGCTCCGCCTCCTGGGTTCATGCCATTCTCCCGCCTCAGCCTCCGGAGTAGCTGGGACTACAGACGCCCACCACTAGGCCGGCTAATTTTTTTTGAATTTTTAGTAGAGACGGGGTTTCACCGTTTTACCCAGGATAGTCTCGATCTCCTGACCTCGTGATCCACCCACCTCGGTCTTCCAAAGTGCTGGGATTACAGGTGTGAGCCACCGCGCCCGGCCCACCATTAAATTTTTTTTTAAATGGCACATGCTAATGCCAAAAACAGAGAGCATTGATAAAACTTTTACAAGCAAGCAGTGCTGATGTGTGGCTGGCTTTTTATTCTGTACCATGAGAACCACCTGGAATTTTTTTAAGTCTGTTGGTTCCTATTTTAAGCTGAAAACATGAGAATTCTTTTGAGATGAGCACAGCTGTTCTAAACATAAAATCATATTTTGTGGTTAAAAACCTGGTTTAGAACTGCTGGGCATGGTGGCTCACACCTGTAATCCCAGCACTTTAGGAGGCGAGATGGGTGGATCACGAGGTCAGGAGTTCGAGACCAGCCTGGCCAACATGGTGAAACCCGTCTCTGCTAGAAAAAATACAAAAATTAGCTGGGTGTGGTGGCATGTGCCTGTAATTCCAGCTACTTGAGAGGCAGAGGCAGGAGAGTCGTTGGAACCCAGGAGTCGGAGGTCGCAGTGAGCCGAGATCGCACCACTGCACTTAAGCCTGGGCGACAGAGTAAGACTCTGTCTCGGAAGAAAAAACAAAAAACAAACAAACAAACAAAAAACCTGGTTTAGCTTTTCTTCATTAGAAAAACCCAACTAGGTTAGAAGTCATGTATATGCCAGTGGCTCGTTGTGAATATTTAAGTATGTTTTGAATTCTCATGGCTCCCTTTAGCTACTGATGACAAATCAAAAGTAGGGGCCCTTCTGGACTTCCAGTTAACAACTTTGTGACTGCATGGCTGAGTGAGTGATTGAATCTTTTCAGTAATCCTTGCTCCCAGTCACCTTTTCAGTACAGGTTTTTTTGACCTGTAATATCAGGATAATTGCCTTTGCTATTGCCTTTCTTCATATGGCCTTAGTGCATGCGACTCTGTTGTGAATCTAAACTAATAAGCCGCTGGGGGAATTTGTGGAAGTTACTCTAGTTAAAATACCAGGGAATAGAAAAAGCATTTCCCCTAAAACAACTTCATGTAGTAAAAGGCTTTTGTAAAGTGGTCAACTGGAAACACAGCGTGAGTGGGAATAAAACAGAGGAGTGAAGAGCCTCCCAGTGGCCTGGAATTGTGAGTCAGGCAGGCGGCTGAGGCAGCCCTGGGTGCCCTTGCTTCTGACGGCATCAGCCTTGGGGGGCACCCAGACTCCTGGTGACCGTTTCTCTCTTCAGTTCCACAAAGCGGTCAGATCACTTGGGTCATGCCACATTTGGTCTTTAATTTGTCACCCCCGTAGGCATTTTTGTCTTTTTTTTTTTTTTTTTTTGAGAGAGTTTCACTCTGTCGCCCAGGCTGGTGTGCAACGGCGCAATCTCGGCTCACTGCAACCTCTGCCTCCTGGGTTCAAGTGATTCTCTTGCCTCAGCCTCCCAAGTAGCTGTGATTACAGGTGCCCACCACCATGCCCAGCTAATTTTTGTATTTTTAGTAGAGACAAGGTTTCGCCAGGTTGGCCAGACTGGTCTCAAACTCCTGACCTCAGGTGATCCACCCACCTCGGCCTCCTAAAGTGCTGGGATTACAGGCGTGAGCCACCGCCTGTAATTTTTGTCTTTTAAGTGGAGCTCCATGAAGGCAGTCAAAAGACCCAGTTTTTAAAAGAGGATTTCACTTCCTTTGACCTCTAGGCAGATAAGAACAGGGAGAAATTCTTGCGTACCACCCCAGACTTGCCAGAAGCCTCGTGGCCAAGAAGTAGCCCCGTGCCTGGCTGCCCCTGAGGCCTCCTCACACCAGGAGCATTTGATAGCTTGCCCACCCCTGTTCTGTGTCTCCTACCACTCCCTCCATGCCAGCGGCACGTTTCATTATGGTTTCCCACATCCAAACCTCATAGCAAATGTAATTGTGGTGATAATAGGTAGTCTAGCCAGCAACACTAAGTATTAAAAATGACTCAATGTTATTTTGGTATTTAACTTTGTAAAAGAAAAAGGAAGAGCTTTCTGGCTATTTAAAAAGAAAAAGAAGATGTTGGTTTTCATGAAAACATAGAGCTTTTTCTTGTCAGCAATGGCTGATATGCTACATTTTTACAAGAGGCATAAAGTCATGCATAAGTCTTGTTTTACAGCGAATCAGTGGGAAGTGGCCTACAGTGGGTCGGCTACCGAATACACCTTCACCCACTTGAAACCAGGCACTTTGTACAAACTCCGAGCATGCTGCATCAGTACCGGCGGACACAGCCAGGTTGGTTTTGTTTCCATATGAAAGTAAACCTCATTGATCAAATTCGGACAAACTGTCTATAACATCAGAAGCAAATTGCAGTTTAAACAATGTATCTTGGTAATGCAACCTAATAGTATCATGTCAGGAAATGAAAAATAGAGCTTTCTGAATTGCTGTTTAGAGGTATAAGATAGGCCTAAATGATTCCCTACTGAATTGTGGTATTTTCGGGTACATTTGTCACTCACTCATTTCTCAGAAGGCTTTGACATAATCACCTGTGACAGTTGAAAATTGTCTGGAATTTGCATTGACTAAATAAAGGAGACCTCGGTTATTGCAATGATTAAAAAACTATAGATTTTAGAGTAAAAAGATAAGACCTGCACAGCACTGCTGTTACCACATCTATCAATTTTAAGAATTTGAGACATACCTTCCTCAAGGTACTTTACTGCCATCTGCTGGAAAGTTGTTGCAAAAACAATATAAATCCATGATGACTGAGCTGAGTGGCACCTCCTGAAGTTGTGTGGTACCCAACGTACACATCTGTAGGCAGCATCCATTCTTTTGTTTCTACTATTTATATGACTTTAGACTAACCTGTTAACATGTCAGGAGCCTTAGTTTCAACCACATAGTACTCTCATAGGCGCAAAACAACCTAATAAATATACATGGAGTACTCTAGAAATAATTGTTATCTAAATGGTTTTAACTT